>NC_000001.11:12746290-12954384 GCF_000001405.40 Homo sapiens | reverse complement strand
GAATTCCTTTTTAGGAAGTGCGTTTGAAGTTAATATGATGAAACTTACTCTTCATATAGAGGAGAGTATGAAAGAAGGGAAAGTGCATCAAACCTGTGCGTTTCACAGTAGAAGCTCCGTCCTCACAGCTTAGTAAACACCAATGATCCTGCCTCTAATTCTCTGTCTGTAAAAGGTTCTTTTGAACCCCAGGAAAAGTAGTTGACATGAGAAAAGCATGCTTCTTGGACAGAGGTGAGGGAGTAGGCAGGAGAGTGGTATAAAGTGATAGGTGGTTTGCAGACGCGGGCACGTCAGGGAACCTTTGCAGGCAGGTGGCCCTAGCTGATGTCCCTAGACCTTGCTCAGTTGAGTTCTTTGTGCACATCTCCCACTGGGCTCCTCTGGCCCAGAGATGAGGTTGTCTGCTGAAAGATGCAGTAAAGAGGCTTTAAAGATTTTGTGGCCTTGAACCAATCACACAAGCAAGGCTGAAAGGACTGAGCCTAAAATGGAGCTGCCCCTGAATGATCTGAGTCTTCATCAGGCAGCACCTTGCACACAGACCATCATCTGATGATGGGAACAAACTTGTGTTTGGGTGAAACAGGCTTCCCCATTGCAGTTACTATAACACCTGTGTGGTAGTAAGGTGCAGAATTACTCAATGCCCACTTCAAGTTTACCATTGAGATGATTTCCCACCCCTCTCCTCTAACTGGCACCATTGCCCATAACTAATTTCTTGCTCTCCCCAGGTGCCTCAAGAACCTCTTGGGGGCCTTTATATTCTGTCATGCTTACCTAGCTGATCGGGACATGGAGTGTCTGTCTCAGTACCCAAGCCTCAGTCAGCTAAAGGAGCTGCATCTGATTCATATCCTAATGTGGACCACCAATCTTGAGCCCCTTGGAGCTCTGCTAGAGAAAGTTGCTGCTACTCTTGAGACCCTCACGTTAAAGGACTGTCAGATCCAGGACTCCCAACTCAGGGTCCTCCTGCCTGCCCTGAGCCACTGCTCCCAGCTCACCACCTTCTACTTTCAAGGAAACGAGACTTCCATGAATGCTCTGAAAGACCTTCTGTGTCACACAGGTGGGCTGAGCAAGTTAGGCCTGGAGTTGTATCCTTCCCGTCTGGAGAGTCTTGACAACAGGGGTCATGCCAATTGGGAGATCCTTGCCCCAATTCGGGCTGAGCTGATGTGTACACTCAGGGAAGTCAGGCAGCCCAAGAGGATCTTTTTTGGTCCCGTCCCCTGCCCTTCCTGTGGCTCATGGCCATCTGAGAAAGTGGACCTCCATCTTTGCTCTTAGGGAAGGCCTGGCTAGTGGGATGGACACGTTTTCTTCTGGACCCTTGGGCACTAAAATCTAGGACACAGGTGCTTTTTTTTTTTGATGGAGTCTCACTCTGTCCCTCAGGCTGAAGTGCACTGGCACAATCTCAGCTCACTGCAACTTCCACCTCCCAGGTTCAAGTGATTCTCCTGCCTCAGCCTCCCTAGTAGCTGGTGTTACTGGCATGCACCACCACATCCAGCTAATTTTGTATTTTTTTTCTTTTTTTTTTGAGACAGAGTCTCGCTCTGTCACCCAGGCTGGAGTGCACTGGCACGATTTCGGCTCACTGCAACCTCCGCCTCCAGGGTTCACGCCATTCTCCTGCCTCAGCCTTCAGAGTAGCTGGGACTACAGGTGCCCACCACCACACCCAGCTAATTTTTGGTATTTTTAGTAGAGTCAGGGTTTCACCAAGTTAGCCAAGATGGTCTCGATCTCCTGACCTCGTGATCCACCCGCCTCGGCCTCCCAAAGTGTAATTTTTGTATTTTTAGTAGAGACAGGGTTTCACGATGTTGGAGGAGGCTGGCCTCAAACTCCTGACCTCAAGTGATCTGACTACCTTGGACTTCCACAGTGCCGGGTTTACAGGCATGAGCAGCCTGGCCCGGTCAGGTGCATCTTAAAGGAAGCACACGGTCATGTGTTTCAGGCACGTGCTGACTGTGAGTGGAAAAACAAAGGTGACTCAGCTGGGGGCAGGACTTGGTGAAAATGCTGACTTGGCATCAATAAAGCCTTCAGGGACCTGTTTCCTAGACTCGGAAATGGAACCTGAAGTTCTAGAATGATGCAGGAGTTACCCTCGCAAGGATGGTTATTTAAAAATGTCAAAAATAAATGGAACCTGAATGGAAACTTTCTGGTGTCTTCCATGATTGATCAACCTGTTTTAGCCATTTATATATCAGAAATCTCTAGTTACTGATGAGAGGTACTACGTCATCTGTGATTGAGGTTCAGCTGCAGCAAATCAAGGCATCAAAACTGAAATGTGATCATTTTGATTAGTTCTCACTCATTTTTTGCTTCCTTTCAGTCATCTGTTTCTTCCTTAATTTCTCCCATGCCTGTTCACTGGGTTCATTCACAAAGGATGCACACTTGGGGCCTGGAACATTCTGTGTGGGCAGTGATGATGAGCCACTGAAACCTACCCTCTTCTCAGGGGCCCTCACTGCTCCCCAGATACTGAGACCCTGCTCACTCCTAATGGACAGATCCAGAGGAATCCGTTCCTGATCTTTGGCCATGCCAGGAAATGGCTTCATTGGACCAGGAGTGAATTCACATGAAATTCACTGAAAGCTTCACATGAAGCTCAGAAAATTCCTGTGTTCAAAGCAGTCCAAATGACATTTGGACCATTTTTAGGAAAGTATGGCTTTTTATTAGGTGACAACATGGGGATGAGATTTGCTTTCTCCATTAAGGTGATACGTAAAGCTTTCTTTGAAGGGAGAGAAAACCCTAGAGTTTCCTGACCTTCCTTAACCTGAGCTGCTTGGTTCCCTAGAAGCAGAAATTGATCATATTAGAACCCAAACTCATACCAACCTTGACCTTCATGAAGTACTCAAGTGTTTCTGCTCTTCTTCCTCATGTGATGTAGAAAGTATTAAAAGTGATGAGTGTAGGCCGGGCACGGTGGTTCACACCTGTAATCTCAGCACTTTCAGAGGCCGAGGTGGGTGCATCACCTGTGGTCAGGAGTTCCAGACCAGCCTGGGCAACATGGTGAAACTCTGTCTCTACTAAAAATACAAAAACTAGCTGTGTGTGGTGGCCTGTGCCTGTAATTCCAGCTAACTGGGAGACTGAGGCAGGAGAATCACTTGAACCGGGAGGCAGAGGTTGCAGTGAGCTGAGATCGCACCATTGAACTCTAGCCTGGAAAACAAGAATAAAACTCCATCTCAAAAAAAAATTAATAAATAAATACATTATAAATAAATAAATTAATGCTTTAAAGAAAAAAGAAATAAATTTTGCCTACAAGTTTCATATGCAATTGAATACCTCTTAAATTTTGATGTGAACCGACCAGGCATGGTGGCTGAGGCCTGTAATCCAGCACTTTGGGAGGCCGAGGCAGGCAGACCACGAAGTCAGGAGATTGAGACCATCCTAGTTAATATGGTGAAACCCCGTCTTTACTAAAAATACAAAAAATTAGCCAGGTGTAGTGGCATGTACCTGTAGTCCCGGCTATTTAGGAGGCTAAGGCAGGAAAATTGCTTGAACCGGGGAGGCAGAGGTTGAAATGAGCTGAGATCGTGCCACTGCATTCCAGCCTGGTGACACAGTGAGACTCCATCTCAAAAAATAAATGAATAAAATAAATAAAAAAATAACTAAAAATACTGTGACAGGAACCAACATTGCTCAACTTGTACACTAATGTCTTACAAAATCCTTTCCTTGTCACCTTCAAATCTCCATTTCAAATGCTACACTCTGCATAACTCTACCACTTTGTTGCCATTTTCTGATGATGGAGAAGACCATATATGTGTGTGTGGCATCAGAACTATTGACTCCTCCTATTGATGTTTAAGATATTCCATTACACAAACCTGGGTTCATACTTTTTTGTTGATAGATCTTATGCCAAAAATGTAGGCGAAAAATGCCAAGCAGGAAATGCTATCACTTCTGAAGATGAATTCATAGAGATGGAAATTCTTTCAGAATTTATTTTTCCAGCTTTTTCCTTTGTTTGTTCATTTGTGTTTGTTTCGTTGTTTGTTTGTTTTGAGATGGAGTCTCGCTCTGTCACCAAGTTGGAGTACAGTGGTGAAATCTTGGCTGACTGCAACCTCCTCCTCCTGAGATCAAGCGACTCTCCTGCCTCAGTCTCTCGAGTAGCTAGGACTATGGGTGGGCGCCACCATGCTCAGCTAATTTTTGTATTTTTAGCAGAGACAGGGTTTCACCATGTTGGCTAGGATGGTCTCAATTTTTTGGCATCGGGATCTACCTGCCTTGGCCTCCTGAAGTGCTGGGATAACAGGTGTGAGCCACCACCGTGCCCGGCCTTTTTTTTTTTTTCTTTTGAGATGGAGTCTCACTCTATTGCCCAGGCTGGGAATGGGACTCCTCCTATCAATTATTTTTTTAAATTTTCTTTTGTTTTATTGACCTGACAAGGCTCAAATAGAGTTGAGTTTTTGTTTTCGTTTTTTCCATTGGAAGAGACAATACAGAGGTTACAATCATTGGCTTTAGATGACAAGATAAAAGAATAAAACATATTCCTTGCAAGACAACCAGCAAAACTTCATGATCAGAAGCAAATCAGTGCCTTCTCACTGTCAGTGGGTGGAAGCCTTCATCAATACTTGCAGAGTTTGAGGCACTCATGAACTCACCATGAGATTCTTTACTCAGGGACAGGATGTAAGCCAAGCAAAAGACCTTCCACAGGTGGTGAATTTGGAAGCCTGCCCAATGTAACCTGCAAGTTTTCACTGGCAATATGCAGGTGCAGATATGACAAAGAATAACCATGACCTTTACATCACCCCCAGCTGTTGAGGAATGGGATCCTTTTGACCCTTTCTGTCCATAGAACCAGGTTGCTCATCTTGTGTGGCAACAACATATGTGGTCTACTTAACAGAGAAGAAGACTCTGTAAAAAAAATGTTTATTATGTAGTAAGCAAAGAAATGGGAATAGATGTGAGATTATTTGGGGAGATAAAGGAAGTTGAAGGTTTTGAAAGGAAAAATAAGGAGGATTATACAAATTGTTTTGAAAGACTCATACTTGGTCATGAGGATTAAAACCAAAAGGGCATCAGTGCAATGTTAGATAGATTCCTCTTACACCCACTCGATAACCCCCAACATGTTCAGCAAGTCTTGCTTCACTCCCAGGTTCCCATTAAAAACCCAGCTCAACCCTGACCAGCTCCACCCTCACTTCCATTTGTAATTTTGACATGACTTTATTACAGGACCATCAGGTTCCTATGCCTGCTGCACAGTAGCTTAGCAATATTCTGAGACAGCAGGGTTTGCAGCAGAGAGTTTAATGATCACAAGGTGGCTGAATGAGAAGCTAGGAGGAGATCCTCAAATTCATCTCCCCAAGGAGTACTGAGGGTTTCCAGTGGATCCTGGATAGCAAGGGGCTGGAAAGTTGGGGTAGCGGTAAGAGGGAAGAAGTCAACAGGATGTAGAAACTGCATTCTTTGGTGAGTTGGTGCATTGCAGGGCCCTTCAGATCAGCTGGCATCAGTAGATTCACTGACATGCAGAACCTGAAAGAATATCTCAGATGAAAAAGTTAATGTTTTACAATGCTTAAATGGTTGTCTGCAGGGAAGTTAAGGGGAACTGTAATCTAAGGTCTATATGATTTTGGAACAGTAGGTTGCCAGCAACCATGAGGAACCAGGTCAGAGAGCAAGAAGACCTCCTGATGAATGCTGAATGTGTTCCAAGCTTGGTTTATTTTTGTTTCTCTCCCTCCCTTCTTCACTGATTAAATTTATAAAGTTTATCGATGTGGCTTCAATTTCTTCCAAAGAAGACTTAACCTAAGCCCTGAGACCACTCACGCCCTCAGTGGCACCTCTCCTCCACCAGAACGAGCATGTAATCTGCTACCTTAGGTTATACAAAATCCCGAAGACCATTCAATACGTTGAGATTTTTATTCTGATTTCCTAGGGACGACTCCTCTGTTTTTATAAAGCTTTTTAAAGTAGAAAGCATTTTTATATTTTGATGTGGCCAAAGATTTCCTAACAACACTACTTTCAGATTTTATTTTTCTGTCTAATGTTGGGAACAGATCAAATCCTTCCCTGCCTGTCACTCAAGACTATGAAGTTCACATATTAGTAAAATACCATCAGTGTTTGTGGAGTTCATGAATGAATGATTTTTTTATTTTTTGACAGAATGTCCCTCTGTCACCCAGACTGGAGTGCAGTGGCACAATTCTGGCTCACTGCAACCATTGCCTCCTGGGTTCAAGCAATTCTCCTGCCTCAGCCTCCCAAGTAGCTGGGTTTCAGGCACCTGCCATCATGCCCAGCTAATTTTTGTATTTTTGTATTTTTGTAGAGACAGGGTTTCACCTTTTTGACCTGGCTCGTCTTGAACCCCTGACATCAGGTGATCTACTCACCTTGTCCTTCCAAAGTGCTGGAATTACAGCTATGAACCACCTCACCCACCCTTGAATGAATGTATTCTTGACTTCTACCCTATCCCTAACACTGTCGATTTCTTGCTTCATGAAGTGAATATAGATATGTGATATGAATGGACATCTGATTCAATCCGGTAATCTGGGGAGAGCCAAAAACCCAATCAGGATTAACTGGGTGGAGCTTCACAAATGCAATCAGATATCATTTTTTGATTGGAAGGTAGCAGCGGATATGTGCAGGGGCGTGGGTGGGAGTTGTGATTAGAAAGGTCAATAAAAGCTTCTAAAGACCCACAGGAGAGACCCAAAGTCTTCAAGCCTGGAGTTCCTGCTTGGTTCTTCCTGAGGACTGAGCACCTTCTAGACTACATCCAGATCTGGTAAGCCACTAATTTCTGTAAGGACACTCCCATCTGACCTACAGTCAGTCGGTCTGGGATGGTGACAGTGCAGCCTACGATGGCACAGAGCTATATCCTGTCCTTTTTTTTTTCATATGAACAATTTGAAGCTTGAATGTTTTCCTCTAAATGCAGTTCTGTCTTTATTTCAAAAAAGTTGATTGTGCTTTGGTTGATGCCATTTTAAAATTCGTGAAGGGAGCAATGACTCATGTCTTTAACCCCAACACTTTGGGAGGCCAAAGTGGGAGGATCATTTCAGCCCAGGGGTTTGAGACCAACCTGGGCAACATGACAAAAGCCCTCCTCTACACAACGTTTTTTTTTTTTTGAGGGTGGGGATGGAGTCTCACTGTGTTGCCCAGACTGGAGTGCAGTGGCACGATCTCAAATCACTGCAACCTTTACCTCCCGGGTTCAAGCAATTCTCATGCCTCAGTCTCCATCCTCAGAAGCTGGTGTCACAGACATCTGAAACCATGCCTGGCTAATTTTTGTATTTTTAGTAGAGGTGGGGTTTCACCATGCTGGCCAGGTTGGTCTCGAACACCTGACCTCAAGTGATCCACCTGCCTTGGCCTCCCAAAGTGCTGGGATTACAGCTGTGAGTCACTGGTGCTTGGCCTCTACTTTTTTTTATTTTAATTAGCCGAGCATGGTGACATGCATCTGTAGTCCCAGCTATTTGGGTGGCTGGTGTGGGAGAATCACTTGAGCCCAGAAGATTGAGGCTGCAGTGAGCCATGCTCACACCACTGCTGTACTCCAGCCTGGGCAAAAGAGAGAGACCCTGTCCAAAAAACAAAAACAATATCTTAACCAAAAAGGATCTATGACCTTAATTTTAAACCAATCACGTCCTCACTGTAATTCTTCCACTCGAATGGAGACATGGGTGTGGGGGTGCATGCCTGTAATCCCAGCTACGTGGAAGGCTGAAGCATGAGAATTGCTTGAATCTCAGAGGTGGAGGTTACAGTGAGCTGAGATGGCGCCGCTGCACTCCAGCCTGGGCGACAAAGTGAGACTCAGCTTCCCCCACACCAAAAAAAATTAGATTATACCACCCAGGTGATCATTGGATACATGAAGATTTCTATTGTGTGTTCTTGGGGACTGTCAACTCTGTCTTTGAAAACTGTTTTAACTCTGAAATATTTTGATAAATTTGATGTGGCCGAGGATCCCTCAACAAAGATACTTTCAAGTTTTTTCTTTCTGTCTAATATCAGGAAGAGATTCAACCCTTCCCTATCTCACACTCAGGACTGTGAAGGACACATATTAATAAAACCCCATTTTGTTTGTGAAGGGAATCAGTGAATGAGTCCTGGGCTTCCACCCCATCCCTAAATCTTTCACTTTGATGGGTGAATATCTAATTCCATCAGTAAATCTGGAAGAAAGCCAAAAATCCAATCAGGATTAACTGGGTAAATTCGAATCAAATCTAGCTCTCTCTCTCTCCTTTTTCTTTTTCTTTTTTTTTTTTTTTTTTTTTTTTTTTTTTTTTTTGAATCTAGCCTATTTCCCAGGCTGGAGTTCAGTGGTGTATTGTCAGCTCACTGCAACCTCTGCCTCCTGGGTTCAAGCGATCTTCCTGTCTCAGCCTCCCTAGTAGCTTGGACTATAGGCACAGACCACCGCAACTGGCTAATTTTTGTAATTTTAGTAGAGGTAGGGTTTTACCATGTTGGCCAGGCTTGTCTCAAACTCCTGACCTCAGATAATCCACCTACCTCTGCGTCCCAGAGTGCTGGGATTACAGGTGTGAGCCACTTCGTCTGGCCTTGAATGAATGTATTCTTGACTTCTACCCTATCCCTAACACTGTCGATTTCTTGCTTCATGAAGTGAATATAGATATGTGATATGAATGGACATCTGATTCAATCCGGTAATCTGGGGAGAGCCAAAAACCCAATCAGGATTAACTGGGTGGAGCTTCACAAATGCAATCAGATATCATTTTTTGATTGGAAGGTCGCAGCGGATATGTGCAGGGGCGTGGGTGGGAGTTGTGATTAGAAAGGTCAATAAAAGCTTCTAAAGACCCACAGGAGAGACCCAAAGTCTTCAAGCCTAGAGTTCCTGCTTGGTTCTTCCTGAGGACTGAGCACCTTCTAGACTACATCCAGATCTGGTAAGTCACTAATTTCTGTAAGGACACTCCCATCTGACCTACAGTCAGTCGGTCTGGGGTGGTGACAGTACAGCCTACGATGGCACAGAGCTATATCCTGTCCTTTTTTTTTTTCATATGAACAATTTGAAGCTTTGAATGTTTTCCTCTAAATGCAGTTCTGTCTTTATTTCAAAAAAGTTGATTGTGCTTTGGTTGATGCCATTTTAAAATTCTTGAAGGGAGCAATAACTCATGCCTTTAACCCCAACACTTTGGGAGGCCAAAGTGGGAGGATCATTTCAGCCCAGGGGTTTGAGACCAACCTGGGCAACATGACAAAAGCCCTCCTCTACACAACGTTTTTTTTTTTTGAGGGTGGGGATGGAGTCTCACTGTGTTGCCCAGACTGGAGTGCAGTGGCACGATCTCAAATCACTGCAACCTTTACCTCCCGGGTTCAAGCAATTCTCATGCCTCAGTCTCCATCCTCAGAAGCTGGTGTCACAGACATCTGAAACCATGCCTGGCTAATTTTTGTATTTTTAGTAGAGGTGGGGTTTCACCATGCTGGCCAGGTTGGTCTCGAACACCTGACCTCAAGTGATCCACCTGCCTTGGCCTTCCAAAGTGCTGGGATTACAGCTGTGAGTCACTGGTGCTTGGCCTCTACTTTTTTTTTTTTAAATTAGCCGAGCATGGTGACATGCATCTGTAGTCCCAGCTATTTGGGTGTCTGGTGTGGGAGAATCACTTGAGACCAGAAGATTGAGGCTGCAGTGAGCCATGCTCATACCACTCCTGTACTCCAGCCTGGGCAAAAGAGAGACACCCTGTCCAAAAAACAAAAACAAAATCAATCAAAAAGGATCTTTGACCTTAATTTTAAACCAATCACATCCTCTTCCACCCAAATGGAGACATGGCTGCAGGGGGTGCATGCCTGTAGTCCCAGCTATGTGGAAGGCTGAAGCATGAGAATTGCTTGAATCTTGGAGGCCGAGGCAACAGTGAGCCGAAATGACACCACTGCACTCTAGCCTGGCCGATGAAGTGAGATTCAGCTCCCTCAACACCAAAAAGACTTATGCCACCTAGGTGATCATTGGATATATGAAGATTTCTATTGTGTTTTCTTAGGGACTGTCATCTCTGTCTCTGAAAACTGTTTTAACCCTGAAATATTTTGATAAACTTGGCATGGCCAAGGATCCCTCAACAAAGATACTTTCAAGTTTTCTTTCTTTCTGTCTAATATCAGGAAGAGGTTCAACCCTTCCCTGTCTCACACTCAGGACTTTGAAGGACACATATTAGTAAAACCCCATGTTTGTGAAGGGAATCAGTGAATGAGTCCTGGACTTTCACCCTATCCCTAAATCTTTCATTTTGATGAATGAATATCTAATTTGATCAGTTAATATTTAAGAAAGGCAAAAATCCAATCAGGATTAACTGGGTAGAGATTAAGAATTCTAATCAAATGTAGCTCTCTCTGTCTCTCTGTTCAATCTAGCCTATTTCCCAGGCTGGAGTGGAGTGGTATAATGTCAGCTCACTGCAACTTCTGCCTCCTGGATTCAAGCGATCCTCCTACCTCAGCCTCCCTAGTAGCTTGGACTACAGGCGCAGACCACTGCACCTGGCTAATTTTTGCTGTCTTAGTAGAGGCAGGGTTTTACCATGTTGGCCAGGCTCGTCTTGAACTCCTGATCTCAGATGATCCACCTGCCTCGGCCTCACAAAATGCTCAGATTACAGGTGTGAGTCACTGCACCCAGCCAAAGTGGTTCACTTTGAATATGTGTAAGAGGTGTGCATTGGAAACATCTATCTTGTGAGTAATGCATAACAGTGTCACATAGCTTTCAGAGCTTCTCACTGAAATTTTCAATAATGAGGCAGGGGTGGAGGCTCACACCTATAATCCCAGTATGTTGGGAGGCCAACAGGGGTAGATTGCTTGAGACTAGGAGTTCAAGACCAGCTTGGACAACATAGCGAAATCCACTGTCTTTACAAAAAGTCAAAAAATAAAAGATGAGCTGGGTGTGGTGATGCATAACTGTGGTCCCAGCTACTTGGGAGGCTGAGGAGGAAGAATCCTTTGAGCTGGGAGGTCAAGGCTGCACTGAGCTGAGATCCCACCACTACACTCCAGGCTGAGTGACAGAGCAAGACCCTGTCAGAAAGAGTGAGAGAGGGAGAGAGAGAAAGAGAGAGAGAATGAGAGAAGGGATGCAGGGAAAGAAGACAAGAAAGAAAGAAGGCAGAGAGAGGGGGAAAGAAAGAAAGAGGGAGAGAGAGGAGGAAAGAAAGAAAGAAGGGAGGGAGAGAGGGAAAGAAGGAAAGAAGAAAGAGAGAGAAAGAGAAAGCAAGCTTAAATAATGAAAAGAAAACAAATAGAACCTGTTCTAGGGATGCCCCATGAATGTTCCCAACAAGCTTATTTGTAGGAACTGAAAATGTGGGCATGTAGGCTTGTGACATTCCCATTCCCATTGTTTTAGAACCTTGAGTAATTAGTAATTTCCCCCAATGGTAGGAGGGGTTCACTTTCAGGTTCCTCCACACTCACTAGTCACTGGATGGAGCACTGGATAGAAAGGAAGGGCTCGTGGTGGCCCTGCTTCCTCACTGCTTCGGAGACGCTCATGCTGATGCAGCAGAGGCAGAATGCTGGCTTAATGGCCACTGAGTACAGGGCAGAATTGGAGTAAACTGAGGGCTGTTTCACCATTGCCAGAGCAGTGACTTTGGCCTTGGGAGAAGATAAGATTGCATGGGCTTGGCCTGAGAGTGATGCCTTTTCTCTGGGTTTGTCCTCTGGAAGTTTTCCCTGCAGATTCGTGAAGATGAGCATCCGGACTCCACCCAGACTCCTGGAGCTTGCAGGGCGGAGCCTGCTGAGGGACCAAGCCTTGGCCATGTCCACCCTGGAGGAGCTGCCCACAGAACTTTTCCCCCCACTGTTCATGGAGGCCTTCAGCAGGAGACGCTGTGAGGCCCTGAAGCTGATGGTGCAGGCCTGGCCCTTCCGCCGCCTCCCTCTGAGGCCTCTGATAAAGATGCCTTGTCTGGAGGCCTTCCAAGCTGTGCTCGATGGGCTGGATGCACTGCTTACCCAAGGGGTTCATCCCAGGTGAGGTGGCCCAGGTGGGCTGGTGGGGAGGGCCCAGGTATCCAACCAAAGGAAGAGCTGTGTCATGACAAGTGAGGAGGCCCAAGGGGGATGGTGGTGGTGAGGAAGCCGAGAGGACTTGGCCATTCACCAGCTCCTCAGGGAAAGCACTGCTCACCACGCAAGGTCCATGGAGGTAACAGGAACCTCTCCTCTAATGGCACTGAAAGGCACCATGAAAAGTGAGAACTGGGCCGGGCACGGTGGCTCACAATGTAATCCCAGCACATTGGGAGGCTGAGGCCAAGAGTTGGAGGCCAGCCTGTCCAACATGGTAAACCCCAACTCTACTAAAAATACAAAAATTAGCTGGGCATGGTGGTGGGTTCCTGTAATCCCAGCTACTTGTGAGGTTGAGGCAGGAGAATCATTTGAACCCGGGAAGCAGAGGTTGCAGTGAGGTGACATCACACCACTGCACTCCAGCCTGGGTGACAGAGGGAGACTTGGTCTCAAAAGAAAAACAAAAAAATGTGGAAGTGGGCAGGATCCAAGGGGAAAACAGGGTGAAGAAAAGTCAGAGAGAGGGAGAAGAAGCAGGGAGGGGAGGAGCTGCTATGCAGGATGTGGAGTTTAAGTTCAGAAATGAGTTCTGAAATTCTCATTCTCACCTCTATTTTCCCACAGGAGGTGGAAACTTCAAGTGCTGGATTTACAGGATGTCTGTGAGAACTTCTGGATGGTTTGGTCTGAAGCTATGGCCCGTGGGTGCTTCCTCAATGCCAAGAGGAACAAAACACCAGTGCAGGACTGTCCAAGGATGAGAGGACAGCAGCCCTTGACTGTGTTCGTAGAACTTTGGCTCAAGAACAGGACTCTGGATGAATACCTCACCTGCCTCCTTCTATGGGTCAAGCAGAGGAAAGATTTACTACACCTGTGCTGTAAGAAGCTGAAAATTTTGGGAATGCCCTTCCGCAATATCAGAAGCATCCTGAAAATGGTGAACCTAGACTGTATCCAGGAGGTGGAAGTGAATTGCAAGTGGGTACTGCCCATCCTGACACAGTTTACCCCATACCTGGGCCACATGAGGAATCTTCAGAAGCTCGTTCTCTCCCACATGGATGTCTCTCGCTACGTTTCCCCAGAGCAGAAGAAGGAGATTGTTACCCAGTTCACCACTCAGTTCCTCAAGCTGTGCTGCCTCCAAAAGCTTTCTATGAACTCTGTTTCTTTCCTCGAAGGCCACCTGGACCAGCTGCTCAGGTGAGGGAGGGTGGTGAGCTTTCTCTGCAGACCACAGCAGAGCCTGTTACAGTAAACGCTAGTGGGCATCTACTGTGAGCCAGCCTATGAGGATGAAACAGTGAAGGGGACACTAGAATGTCCATGCATTGTCCTGTTGGCGGCCCTGTCCTGAAATGGGTATCATGCAACCCTCCCAATAGAGGCAGAGGGATCAGCTAGGGGAGATGCTATGGAGAGGCTGCCATGCTAGGAAGCTAGCTCCTGGGGGGTTCAGATCTAGTGAGGGTGCCTTTCTGAATTCTTCCTGAGGATGTGTGTCTAAGTTAAGATGATGAAAAATAGGCCAGGGGCGGTGGCTCATGCCTGTAATCCTAGCAGTTTGGGAGTCTGAGGCAAGAGGATAGCTTGAGCCTAGGAGTTTAAGACCAGTCTGGGTAACATACCAAGACCCCTGTCAGAAATGAATAAATAAAAGTAAAAACAAACAAGATAACTTTCTTTTCTGAGATGGAGTTTCACTTTGATCGTCCAGGCTACAGTGCAGTTGTGACATCTCAGCTCGCAGCAACTTCTGCCTCCCAGGTTCAAGCGATTCTCCTGCCTCAGCCTCCTGAGTGCCTGGGATTACAGGCGTGAGCCACCACACCTGGCTAATTTTTATATTTTAAGTAGAGACAGGGTTTCACCATGTTGGCCAGGCTATTCTCCAACTCCTGACTTCAGGTGATCCACCCACCTTGGACTCCCAAAGTGCTGGGATTATAGGCGAGAGCTACCACGCCCAGCCAACAAGATAATTTTTAAGAAGATGATGTGAAGTAGGGAAGTGAAGTGGGCACTGAAGAGGGGAATGCTCAGCAAACCTGCACATGTCAGAAAATCAGCTTTGTGCCCCACAGTTTCGTGAACATGAATGATCCCATCTCTAATTCCGTGTTGTAAAAGTTTCTTTTGAGCTCCAGGTAAATTAATTACCTAGGAAATGCATGATTCTGAAACAGAGGGTCAGGGAGCAGGCACAAAGAATGGTGAAAGTGATAGATGGTTTGCTGATGATACAGGCTTGTCAGGGACGCCTGCAGCCCGCCCACCGTAGCTGATGTTGCAGGATCCTGTCTGGGTTTGTCCTTTATGCCTGAATCTCCACTGGGCTCCTGTGGCCCAGGGATGTGGTTTTCTGCCTGACAGATGAGGAAAGGGAGCTTTAGGGATTCTGTGAACTTGATCCATTCCTATAAATGATGGTGAAGTGACTCAGCCTCAAATGGAATTATTTTTTTCTCCTTTTTTTTTTTAATGCGGAGTCTCTCTCTGTCACCCAGGCTGGAGTGTAGTGGCATGATCTCTGCTCACTGCAACCTACACCTCCTGGGTTCAAGCGATTCTTCTGCCTCAGCTTCCCAAGTAGCTGGAATTGCAGGCTCCCGCCACCACACCTGGCTAATTTTTGGATTTTTAGTAGAGAGGAGGTTTTGCCATGTTCAGCAGGCTGGTCTCAAACTCCTGATCTCAAGGAATCCACCAGTCTCAGCCTCCCAAAGTGCTGGGATTACAGGTGTGAGTTACTGGGCCGGGCCTAAAGTGGAATTGACCTCGGTGGCAAAACTCTTCATCACACATCATCCTAAGTGTTGACCATCAGGCCATCAGAATGACCCTGGACTTGGGCAAAATGGTCTCCATCCATTACCTTGAAGCCATTCCCCACCACCCTCCACTCACCCCTATGATTCCCCAGAATTAACTTCTTGCTCTCTCTCCCCAGCTGTCTGAAGACCTCGTTAAAGGTCCTCACAATAACTAACTGTGTGCTTTTGGAATCAGACTTGAAGCATCTATCCCAGTGCCCGAGTATCAGTCAACTAAAGACCCTGGACCTGAGTGGCATCAGACTGACCAATTACAGTCTTGTGCCTCTCCAAATTCTCCTAGAAAAAGTTGCAGCCACCCTTGAGTACCTGGATTTAGATGACTGTGGCATCATAGACTCCCAAGTCAACGCCATCCTGCCTGCCCTGAGCCGCTGCTTTGAGCTCAACACCTTCAGCTTCTGTGGAAATCCCATCTCCATGGCCACCCTGGAGAACCTGCTGAGCCACACAATCATACTCAAAAACTTATGCGTGGAGCTGTATCCTGCCCCCCGGGAGAGTTATGATGCTGATGGTACTCTCTGCTGGAGCAGATTTGCTCAAATTAGGGCTGAGCTGATGAAGAGAGTGAGGGACTTAAGGCACCCCAAGAGGATCTTGTTCTGTACTGACTGCTGCCCTGACTGTGGCAACAGGTCATTTTATGACCTGGAGGCAGATCAATGCTGCTGTTGAATGCCTGCCTATTTGGGTGGATATGTCAAACGCTTTCTTCTGGACACTTGGAAACTAAAACCTAGGTCTTAGGTACATCCTATAGGGAGCACAGAACCCATCATTTCACACATGGGCTCTGAAAGTGGGAAAGGGAAGGTGATCAAGCAGGGGCAGGACTTGGGGGAAGTGTTGCCATGGATTCGATGGGACTTTGGGGACCTGTGTCCTGTAGAGTGGAAAATGGGAATTTGAATGTCTAGAGTGGAGGCTTGAGAATACATGAGGGAGTTACTCTTGCATGGATGGTTGTAAAGAAACAATCAGAAATAAAGGAAAACTGAGTGGTAACTGTCTAGTGCCCTCTATTATTAAGTAACCTGTTTTCCAGTTTAAGCCTCAGGAATCTTCAGTTATTGATGGAAAAAACAAAAGGCACTGAGTTGTCCAATCAATAAGATGCTACCCAAGAAAATCAAGGCATTTAAATGAAATTTGGTTATTGTAATCAGTTTCCTCCCATTCTTTTATTTGAGACAGAGTTTCACGCTTGTTGACCAGGTTGGAGTTTAGAGTGCAATGGTGCCATCTCAGCTGACTGCAACCTCCACCTGGGGTTTAAATGATTCTCCTGCCTCAGCCTCCCAAGTAGCTGAGATTACAGGCATGCACCACCATGCCCAGCTAATTTGTGTATGTTTAGTAGCGACAGGGTTTCCTCACTATGTTGGTCAGACTGTTCTCAAACTCCTGACTTTGGGTGATCCACGCAAGTAGGCCTACCAAAGTGCTGGGATTACAGGCGTGAGCCACTGTGTCAGGCTTGTTTTTGTTTTTGTTTTTTAAAGGTCTCCTGTCACTCAGGCTAGAGTGCAGCGGCACAATCATAGCTCACTACAGCCTCAATTTCCTGGGTTCAAGCGATCCTCCCACCTCAGCCTCCTGAGGAGCTAGGACTACAGGCGTGTGAGCAACCATGCCTGTTTGCTTGTTTTTTTAAGTGGTGACAAGGTCTCGCTGTCTTGCCCAGGCTGATCTGGAACTCCTGAGCTTGTGATTCTCCTGCCTTGGCCTCCCAAAATGCAGGGAGTATAGGCGTGGACCACCACGATTGGCTTGGCCTCCTCCAGTTCTTCACTTCTTTAGATGTCTGTTAATTCCTTGTTAGTTTCTGTGGCTGTTCAGTGGGTTAATACACACTAGGTGGAAACCAAGGGTCTGGAACATTACTGGGCAAGAACAGTGAGCCAATCCACGTGGAAAGCACCTTCTTCTCAGGGTCTTTCACTGCTAGCCAGATGCTGAGACCCTGCCCACTCCTTGTGAGTCTCCACATGGTTCCAGAAGCCTTAGTTGGTGGATGTCAGCTTCACTGCACAAGGAGCCACTCTCTTCCCGCTGCCCTGGAAGGGGATGTCCATATTGTGTATTAGCTGGAGACTCTGGGCAGCACCAACCCTTGCTTGTTCCCCTGATGACTAGCAGCCCTTCTTGAATTAAACTGGTTGTAGCCAGTAAAGACAGCCACATTCCCTTTAAGTAAAATACTAAAACTACACAGGTATGTAACACTTTTTAAATATTTCCATCTGACATTTAAAAAGTTACTTCTTATTAGGGAGCTAGGTCAGATCGATGAGAGATTTTCTCATAACACCTCCCCTCTCTCCCTATCAAGGAAGAGACCAGTGCAGCGTGTTCTGGAATCTCACATCATCAAAGGGTGGATAACAATCAAGTGCCTGTGGGTGATGAGTGACCTTCCCTGTGCTGAGGAAGCCTGCATAATGGGCACCCAAGTGAAGGATCCTGCTGAGGATTCAGGGGCTGGTATTGCTGTCAGGGATCTTAACCAAGAGCCTCAGGTCCCTGTAAAATGAGGATGATGTCCAACGGCTTATAGGACCCTGCAAGGATCCAATAAGATGGTTCATGTTTAGGGCTTGGCATGGGGACTGGCATACAGTTAGATGAATACATCTTGTTCTTTTTTCTCTTCTCAGCAGAAGTCCCAGCAATTTTCATCTTTCAATCTATCTCACCTCCTATTCCTGATAACAGGGAGGCAACAAGAACCCAGGGCATGCAATGGGGCTCATCTTCTACCCTCTGCCACAACTTCATCATGACTCCCCCAAACAGCAGAGCCCCAGGAGCCAGCAGGGGGCAGGGTGGGCATTTCTGGACTGGATTCATTCCTAAGAAGAGTAAAATGTCCAATCCATAGGTCTCGGGTGCCATCTGCTGGTAGATCAGATCAGATGGTGTAATTTAATGTTGCAAGGATTATATTATATGGTATTTTTTTAAATTTACTATTATGAGCCAGGAGCGGTGGCTCATGTCTGTAATCCCAGCACTTTGGGAGGCTGAGGCCATTGTCATGGCCAGGCTTGGTGTCTCACACCTGTAATCCCAGCATTTTGGGAGGCTGAGGCGGGCAGATCACTTCAGGTCAGGATTTTGAGACCAGCCTGGCCAACATGGTGAAACCCCGTCTCTACTCAAAATACAAAAAAAATTGCTGGGCGTGGTGGCATTCGCCTGTAATCCCAGGTATTCAGGAGACTGAGGCAGGACAATCGCTTGAACCCGGGAGGCGAAGGTTGCAGTGAGCTGAGATCGCACCACTGCACTCCAGCCTGGGCAACAGAGCAAGAAAAGAAAATTTACTATAATGTGAATACTAGTTGAGTATAAATATTTGTGTTGTAATTTATGTATATGAAAGATATAAAACTTTTAAAGAATGCAATGTGATATTTTAAGAATGGTTAATGGCCAGGCGTGGTGGCTCACGCCTGTAATCCCAGCACTTTGGGAGGCCGAGGCAGGCAGATCACTAGGTCAGGAATTTGAGAGCAGCCTGGCCAATGTGGTAAAAACCCGTCCCTACTAAAAATACAAAAAATTAGCCTGGGGTGGTGACGGGCCCCTGTAATCCCAGATAGTCAGGAGGCTGAGGCAAGAGAATCTCTTGAACCCAGAAGCAAATGCTGTTGACCACGTGATGCATGGAAACGTTTGTCATGGGTATAGCCACTGAATTGCTAACTTAGGGACGTCAACATTAGCTCACTACCAATAATATAAATACATTGGATTATGGAAAAAATTGCCTTTGTGATACCATATCCATGTGTGACATGAGAGTCCAGCAATTGGCCCGGTGTGGTGGCTCACGTCTGTAATCCCAGCACTTTGGGAGACTGAGGCGCATGGATCACTTCAGGTCAGGAGTTCGAGACCAGTCTGGGCAACACGGTGAAACTCTGTATCTATTAAAAACACAAAAATTCCCACCTATGAGTGAGAACGTGCGGTGTTTGTTTTTTTGTCCTTGTGATAGGATGGGAATTGAACAATGAGAACACATGGACACAGGAAGAGGAACATCACACACTGGGGCCTGTTGTGTGGGGAGTGGGGAGGGATAGCATTTGGAGATATACCTAATGTTAAATGACAAGTTACTGGGTGCAGCACACCAACATGGCACATGTATACATGTGTAACTAACCTGCACATTGTGCACATGTACCCTAAAACTTAAAGTATAATAAAAACAAATACAAAAATTAACTGGGCGTGGTGGCAAGTATCATCCCAACTACTGGGGAGGCCGAGGGAGGAGAATTGCTTGAACCCAGGAGGTGGAGGTTACAGTGATCAAAGATCATGCCACTGCACTCCAGCCTGGGCAACAGAGCGAGATGCCATATCAAAAAAAAAAAAAAAAAAGAGAGAGAGAGAGAAAAGAAAACAAAACAAAAGAAAGTCCAGCATGGTAAAAGGTACATAGAGGTACATTTGGGTGAGCTTCCTTTGTTTTTCATTCTTTTTCCCTTCTCTGGACAGAATTCTCAATGCAAAACATTCCAAAAACACAGAGCAAGTGTCTTCTATAACCTTCCCTTTTTTTGAGACTTCTCTTCACAGTGTATGTGCTAGTGTCTTCCAGACTTTTGTGTGACATGCTATACAGAACATCAGATCAAACGGGCACATCCCTAATAAGTGGTGACTTGCCAGATCTGGACTCACTTTGCAGGGTGCTGGGACCTCTCTGAGAATCAAGCAGTAGCTCCAGGAGCCAGGGCTTTGGGTCTCTTCTGTGCATCTTCAGGAGTTTTATTGACTTTTCTCACCACAACCCCCTTCTCAATTACCAACTTCCAATCCAAAAATGACATCCAACTGGATCCTGAACTTCCACCCAGTTAACGGTGATTGAGTTTTCAACTTTCTTCTTATTAAGTGATTAAATTAGATATGGATTTATGAAAGTGAAAGAATTAATAATAGGGTGAAGGACTAAAACTCATTTATTCACTTATTCCATAAATATTGGTAAAGTTTTACCAATATGTGACCTTCATAGTGATACAGGGAAGGTTTTAATCTGTTTCAGACATTAGAAATACATATATTTATATATGGTATCTTTATTGGAGAACCTTTGGCCACATCAAAAGTATCAAAACTTTTCAGAGTTAAAACAGCTTTAAGAAGACAGTGATGTCATCCCTAAAAACACAATAAAAATCTCAGTGTATCCACTGGTCACCTGGGTTTTGCGCTACCTAACATGGTAGATCATATGCCCATTCAGGTGGAAGACAGGAACTACTGAGGGTGTAATTTATCTCAAGGTTAAGGTCAAGGCATCACTGAAAGAAATCAGGCCTAAATTACAAAGTGAGGTGGAGGTTGGGCTGGACAGTACTGACTGTTCTAATGGGGCCCTAGGAGGGAACCAAGACAACAAAAAACATGGCAGGTATTTTGTGGGCATCTAGACAAAAGGATTGAAAGACTTCCTTCTACATTGAGTTTAAAAATTAAAAAAACCTAATTACAAAAGAGATAATGCAGACTCGTAAAACATCACAGTGTCTTTGAGGGCAGAGAGGGCAGACACAATCTTGACTCCTACTGGAAGGTGAAGCATCATTACTCGCAAACAGGATGGGCTTCCCTCAGAATACCAGCTTGGGAAGAGTGAATCTGAGTGTGTGAGCTGGGGCAGAGCCCAGAGAGGAGCAGTGTGGTCAGACATAAGGAGGGAGACTTTTCAATCTGGAAGCATGAATGGTGCAAGCTGTGTATCTGAAGAATTTGGGAGAAAAATGAACCTCTTGGGGGAATCCTGCACCATCCTCAGGACCCCAGTGAGAATCCTGCAGTTTGGGGGGTCTTTCTACCATGTTCTGGTTGCCTGTGCTTCTGAAGGTGCTCCTCTGCTGTCCAGGTCAGAGTAGCTTTCAGAGCCCATCTGAAGGGACGGCCTGACTTCAATTCCACTCACAGAATTTCTACTGGGATTCCAAAGCTTCTCCAGGCTTTTGATTGGGGTCTCTAAAATATTTCTGAATTTCTGTTTTCCTCCCCCAGCCTGAGCTGTGAGAGAAGCTGAATCCTCTGCTTCCTGGAAATGTCAGCCGATCTCTCCTGCACCGAGGACTATGGCCACAAACAATGCTAAGAGACACTCTCCCTGGAATCAGCAGTGACTCATACATTCTCCCCAAATTCTACTGAGCTTTTTGGGTGCACATAGCAAGGCACAAAGCAGGGAGCTCCTCAGCTGCTCTTCCGGACCTAAAGAGGCACCCAGGACCAATGGAGGGGAAGTTTGTCTGCCTTCCACAGGAAGAGCTGACTCCTCTGGTTTTCCTAGAAGTGCCAGGCTGTTGGCAGAGCCTGGGACAGGTCCCAGTGCAGGGGGCCATCCCTTCTAGGATCCCCTTGCCCAGTCTTAGAGCTGACGAGGCTGCACCTGGAATGCAGTGAGTCTGTTTCTGAGTCAGGGCTTTCTTTGCCCATGGTGTTTGCCCTCTCCATGTTTCTAACAGTAGAAATCACTGTTCAGGCCCTGCTGGACTTCTTTAGTCCTCAACAGGATCTCATTCCAGGTCGCATTTGTGACCGTCTTTTCCAAGATCAGGGGCTGCCCCTCCTTTTTTCCCCAATAAAGATCTGAGGAGAAGTCACTCTGAAAGCAGAGTAGATGCCTAAGAAGGTGCTTGTGGCAGCCTGGGGTGGGGAAGGTCTCGGAACTCGCTGCAGGCTGGATGGAGCCAGGAGGACTAAGGAAAAGAACAGGGCCCAGAAAGGGAGTGGCCCAGAGGAGCTGATGTGGGCCAGAGTAAGCACAGAGGAGAGAGATGGCAGCAGGGTAGGGGGCCGGGTTATTTGGCTTTCACAGAGCCGCATCCCTGATAAGCTGTGGACTTGTGTCTGAGATCCTCAAAGGACCTGTGCCTGGATGTGGAGCTGTGAGTTTCTAAGGCCCTTTGATTTCACCCTGGTCTACATGAGGTTCCAGTGGCTGCCCCATCTCACCCCAGGGGCAAAGAGTCAGTCTAGCAGGGAGACATGGGGAGAGAGAGTCAATGGCAAACATCCACCTTGGATGCAAAGACAAGGGACATGTCAGAGGGAGGGAGACTTGGTGTGAGGCCAGGGGAAGGGAGGCACGTTGGATATGGTGCAGTTCTGTCTCTGCACTTGCCACAGCCTCATAGGACTGTGAGGATTGAACTTTGCAGGAGGGAATGAGGTAGAATGGGGTCTGGACTGGAGTCCCTGTCATCCAAGTGACCCCCATATCTACTCCTGCCAACCAGGTGAAGGTCTTGCTAGATGTAAGTCAAACCAGGACCTATCAGACTGCCTGGCACTTTCTGATGGATCTAGAAGGAGCACAGTGATCCTCAGTCAAAAAAAATCTTGCATTGTCCAGGGCTGAGGATTTTCAGGTGGCCCTGGAGGGGGAGACTCTGGGGAAAAACCACAGAGAAGATTTTGGCACATTTGACACTATTAACATCCAGTGCCTCCCCTTCCTATTGGTCGGGTGTGGTGGCAGGAGAATTGCTTGAACCCGGGAAGCAGAGGTTGCAGTGAGCTGAGATCACGCCATTGCACTCCAGCCTGGGTGGGCAACAAGAGTGAAACTCTGTCTCAAAAACAAACAAACAAACAAAACAAACAGACAAAAAAATGTGAAACAAAAAAAAAAAACCTTTGACTGAGTGCCTGTAATGTGCCACCTACTATTCTGGGTGCTACTTAGGATAAACAAGAAGCAAGGCAGCTGCAAAGTGAGCTCAACAGAATACACCTGGCTTGGCAGTGCAGTGCAGATCAGAAAAAAAATGCCTGTGCAGCATAAAATGTGAAGAGACATCTTCTTTGCTTTTCTTTTCTTTCTTCTTCTTTTGAAAGACAGAGCCTTACTCTGTTTCTAAGGCTGGCGTGCAGTGGTGCAATCTCGGCTCAGTGCAGCCTCGGCCTCTCAGGCTGAAATGATCCTCCCATGTCAGTCTGCCAGTTAGCTGGAAACACAGGTGTGTTGCATGGAATATCTTTTTCTACCCCTTCACTTTCAGACTACATGTGTCCTTATAGGTGAAGTGAGTTTCTGGAAAACAGCATATAGTATGGTCTTATTCTTTTACTCATTCAACGACCCTAAGACTTTCACTTGCAGAACTGAGATATATTGTCTTCATTGTTGTTATTGATAAAGGCTTAGTACTCCCATTTAATTTCTTGTTTTCTGGTTGGTTAGAGACTTCTCTCTTCCATCCTTCCTTTCTTATTGTCTTTCTTTGTGTTTAAGTAATTTTCTCTTATGAAATCCTTGGGATGTGACTTTTCTGGCCAGAAGCCTCTATGGCTGGGGGCACCTTTGCCGGAGTTTTGATGGGGTTCACTGGGTTTGTTCTGCCCACTCAGACTGGTAGACTATGCTTGGCTCATGCTTCAGGCCTGGATCACATGCCTATTAAGGGAGGGTCAGGACTGGAGCAGTGAGGGGTGTCTGAGTGAGCAGGGGGTCTGGTCACTTTGGACAGTCACTGGCTCCCACAGCAGTGGGGCAGGCAGCTTCAGGTGCCAGCACAGGTGCCAGATTTTTGCAAGGCTGCAAATGAACCAGGCACAGCAAAAGCAGCTTCCATGTTTGTCCCTGGAGTACACAGTGGTGTCTGCTGCTCTTTCCAGGAAAGTCATCTCATCATCTCCACAGCTCTCAGTAGAGAAAAGGCCCCAGAGTGGATTGCTTGTCTGCAGGAAAATCATCCCAAGAGTGGGTAGTTTCACTCTGCCACTGTTCATCCTGATGTTTTCCCTGAGTCTGGGGCTGTTGGGGCATCATGGGGAAGGAAGTATGTGCTGCTTGGGTCATAGGTAGCCATTGGCAGGCACAGAAAAGGCACCACATATTCCCACTCTGGTCCATAGCACTGGTGGACCAGCCCACGGGCTTCAGGCCCGCCTTGGTCACAAGGTAGAGCCTCACCAGGTACCCTCGTCTTCCCATCCAGGAGTCTGTCTGCCTCCCACCACCACCCATGGCGCCCAGGTCACTTGCATCAAGGAGCATCCAAAGGCCAGCACTGATCTGTCCTCAGCCCCCTCTCAGCCTCCCTCCCATGCTCATCAGGGCCCAAAGCCCAGAGTGTTCAAGACAGCAGGCAGACGGTGCATCAGCACGAACCTGAGCATGCACACGCTCATCTGGGCTGCCACAGCATACATGCTTGACCCCAACTCCGCTCCAAAATTACAGCAGGTGCCAGGAGGGACCACACAGTGGGAGCAGACACCCCCATGCTGCAGGAGAAGGGGAGACCTCCTGAGCCCTCAAGAGCACTGGGGGACCTTGGTTGGAACTGCGACCTGGGCAGCTTCAGTTGTGCCTTTGGAGCTACTGTCCTGCCAACTCGGGAGGGCCAGGACTCCCTCTTGTCCCAGGATCCCATCAGGTTCAAAGTGTATGTAGCCTCAGTTATGCCCTCTCTCTGTGTTTCTCCACAGAGGTGACAGGTGAGATGCAGGTTCACAGCAGCTCTGGCCAACCCTGCAAAAACAAACCCAATGCTTCTGGGTCTGGTTGAATGAGCCCCAACTGCACTCTAGTTAAGAATATTGCAGGCTAACAGCAGGCCGTGAGGAGTGAGTTTGAGGCTTTGTAGAGGCTCCAGACCCGGGAGCGGGTCTCATTAAGCCATGAGAGGGTGTGGGTGGCACAGCTGTCTGCCTCAGGAACACGGGGCAGAGGCCTGGCTCACAACCCTGCCAAGGTGGGGTGCCTCCAGGGGTGGACCGTGGTCCCCAGACCCAGCAATTAGGAACGTCAGTCTCTGTGGTCACCCCTGTGGGGGGCAGATCTTGGAAATGCAGCCCCAGGAGGATTAGCACAGAACCTCCCTTCGACACCCAGGAACTTGGCACTGTTAGCAGGGTGGGCACAGTGGCCCCATAGCTGGCCAGGTCATTGAACTAGGTGCCATTTCTGCTTCCCAACAAAGGCCCCTGTAGCTTGATCCCAGCTCTGCCTACCACCTCAAGCCCATCTTCTCCTCGGGGCCCCTCTCTGCCCGTCCCTTTGTGCCTGACTGAGCTGCTCCTTGCAGGCGAAAATGTAAGGAAAAAACAGATGACTGAAGAGAAGTAAAGAATGGGTGGAGATCATTGGCACACCCGTAATCCCAGCACATTGGGAGGCCAAGGTCAGCAGATCACTGAAGCCAGGAGCTCAAGACCAGCCTGGTCAACATGGAAAAACCGCGTCTCTACTAAAAATACAAAAACTAGCAGGCTTGGTGGCACTTGCATGCAATTCCACCTACTAGAGTGGCTGAGGCATGAGAATCACTTGAGCCCCGAAGGGTAGGATTGCAGTGAGCCCAGATGGGACCACTGCACTGCAGCCTGGGTGACAAAGCAAGATGTTGTCTTTTTTTTTTTTTTTTTTTTTTTTTTTTTTAAAAAAAAGCAAAGAAAAAGAATGGGTGGGAATTAGATGTTTTGCAGCTGAATCTCAATCACAGACAACAGAGTACTTTGATACTTTTCCATCAGTAACTCAATAACTAGAGATTTCTGATGTATAAATCGCTAAAACAAGTCAATCAAATACAGAGGACACCAGAAAGTTTTCATTGAGGTTATTTCTGATATTTCTTGGTAACCGTCCCTGCAGGGATAACATTCTCATCACTGTAGAACTTTAGCTTCTCTTTCTGACTCTGTAGGACATGGGTCCCGTAAGGTCTCATTGACTCCACCTCCACATTTTCCTCCAGTCTTGCCCCCTGCTGTTATCTTTTTTCCCTCATACTGAGCACCTGCCTGAAGCAAAGAATTCTGTGCTTCCTGTAAGTTGCATGTGGCCTGGTCACAATCACTCATGCCAGTAATCCTGGCACTTTAGGAGGCCAAGGCAGGAGAATCCCATGTGCCCAGCAGTTTCAGACCAGCTGGGGCAACACAGCGAAACCCTGTCTCAAATGTTCTTTAATAAAATTTTAGAATTATTAAAAAAGGAAATAAGAAAAAACAAACATAACTTGCACTTACATACTAGATTTTAGTGTCCAAGTGCCTGGAAGAGAACTTTGGATTTATCAACCCCACTAGGCACGCCTTCCCTAGCAGCAAAGATGGAGCTCCAGTTCCTCAGACGGTGATGAGCCACAGGAAGGGCAGGGAGTGGGACCAGTGAAGATCCTCTTGGGCTGCCTGACTTCCCTCAGTGTACACATCAGCTCAGCCCGAAGTGGGGCGAAGATCTCCCAATCGACACGAACCAAGGAATTCAAACTCTCCTCAGGGGCAGGATACGTCTCCAGGCTTAACTTGCTCAGCCCACTGGTGTGGCGCAGCAGGTCCTTCAGGGTGTCCGTAGACATGCAATTTCTGCCAAAGTAGAAGGTGGTGAGCTGGGAGCAGCGGCTCAGGCCAGGCAGGATGGCGCTGAGTTGGCAGTAGTGGATCTGACAGCCCTCGAAGATGAGGGTCTTGAGAGTGGCAGCAATTTTCTCTAGCAGAGCTCCGAGGGGTTCAAGACTGATGCGGAACAGCAGCACGTAGCTGAGATTCAGATGCTTTAGGTAGCTGAGGCTTGGGTACTGAGACAGACACTTCATGTCCTCTTCCAATAGGTAGCCACAAGTTAACTCCAAGTTCTCCAAGGGGTTCTGGAGGCACCTGTGGAGATCAAGAAGTTAGTTCTGGGCAGTGATACCAGTTAGATGAAGGTGGTGGGGAATAACTGAAAGGGAAATGTCTGCTTCACCCAAACACAAGTTTATTCCCATCATGTGATGATGGTCCACATGCAAGTTGCTCTGTGATGAGGACTCTGATCATTCAGGGGCAGTCCTAGTTTAGCCTCAATCCTTTCACCATTGCTTGTGTGATTGGTTCAAGGCCACAAAATCACATCACTAAAGCCTCTTTTCTTCATCTTTTAGCAGAAAACTTCATCTCTGGGCCACAGGTACCCGGTGGGAGATGTGCATGAAGAACTCAACTGAGCAAGGTCTAGGGTCATCAGCTAGGGCTACCTACTGGCAGGGGCTCCCTGACGTGCCTGCATCTGCAAACCACCTATCACTTTTTACCACTCTCACGCCTACTCCCTCAGCCTCCATTCAAGAAGCACACATTTCCCATGTCAGTTACCTTTCCTGGGGTTCAAAACAACCTTTTACAGACAGGGAATAGAGACAGGATCATTTGTGATCACTAAGCTGGTGAGGACAGAGTTTCTACTGTGAAATGCACAGGTTTGATGCGCTGTCCCTCCTTTCATACCCTCCTCTATTACCTCTTTCCTATCATATCAACTTGAAACACACTTTGTAACAAGAAATTCACATATGCACCCCCCAGTAGAGCTGAAACCCCCACTACCTGGCTTGTACATGATGTAGCTCTCTAGCCTCTACCCCAGGTGACCCCGCTGCCCTCATTGCAGAGATCCTGTGATAGCCACTCCAGAACATGGAGCACTGAATGGGACAATGTGTTGATATTCTGGTGTCCCCTTCACTGTGATGTCACCACTGGCTGACACAAAAGTTATGCCTTCTAGCGTTTGCTGTAACAAAAAAAGGCTGTGCTGTGGTCTTCAGAGAAAGTGCACGATCCTTTCTCACCTGATCAGCTGTTCCAGGTGCCCACTGAAGAAGGTGATCAATTTTACTTTAAGCAATTGGAGGTGTTCCAGCCTGAGGAACACAGGCTGAATTTGGTGAGTAACCATTCCTCGAGGTCATTGTCCGACGAGTAATGATGGCACCTGGAGAAAACGAGTTTGCGAAGATTCTTCATCTCCTTCAGGTAACAATGAAGCTTTCTTATCAGATGCAGCCAGGACATGTTGTGAATTTCCAACTCCTGAATACTATTCAGGTGGACTATTTTCAATGACTTTCTAAGATATTTAATGGGTGTTAGATAATTCACCAACTTACTACAGCACAGGTGTACTAAAACTCTCCTTTGGTAAACCCACTGGAAGAGGTATCTCAGGCATTCATCTTGGGGTGTTTCCTTGAGGCAGACGTCTATGAACACCTTTAAGGGCTGGTGCTCTCCCATCCTTGGATAGTCCTCTGCTGTCTGCCTCTTACTCATGGCCTCTGGGGAGGAGGACAGGGCCTAGCCTCCAGGCCATCCAGCCCAGACATTCTCATCAACATCCAGCAAGTCCAGCACTTGAAGTTTCCACCTCCTATAGGTAAAGTAAGGGAGAAGCTCAGAATTTAGAAGGACCCATCCCTGACTTTTGCTTTCATTCTCATTGCTCCCTGTTCTCTCTCTGACTTTTCTCAGTCCGTTTTCTCTTTTGATTCATACTGCTCCCCACTTCTAGTCCCTTTACCTTCCACTGGGAAAAAGCAGGTTTCTGTTCCCACAGTGGACCCTGTATGGTGAGCAGTCCTTTCTCTGAGGATCTGGACAATGGCCAAAGCCTCCTTGAGCTTCCTCACCAGCACCATCAGAAGACTCTGGGCTACCCTGAGTCAGGCTGGAAAACAAGCCGCTTTATTGTATTTATTTATTTATTTATTTATTTATTTATTTATTTATTTATGGATTTTGAGACCGAGTTTTGCTCTTGTTGCCCCGGTTGCAGTGCAATGGTGTGATCTCAGCTCACCGCAACCTCCGTCTCCTGCGTTCAAGCGATTCTCCTGCTTCAGCCTCCCGAGTAGCTGGGATTACAGACATATACCACCATGCCCAGGTAATTTTGTATTTTTAGTGGAGATGATGTTTCTCCAAGTTGGTCAGGCTGGTCTCCAACTTCTGACCTCAAGTGATCTGCCCACCTTGGCCTCCCAAAATGCTGGGATTACAGGCGTGAACCACTGCACTCAGCCTTAAGCCACTTTATATAGGGTTAAATAAACCCCCTCTGAGGGGACTTTGTGATTTGTAGAAGGTGACTCCCCAGGCCCTTTAGTTAGGAATTGGGGACCTTCATGTCCCAACTTCTCCTTTGGATGCAGAGAACCTAATTATAATGCATTTAAATGTAAAGCCTCAACCACCAGGTGAACCTGGGATGTATGTGACATGTATATTTGCTTACCATACATGCATGCATCCCCCACCCTGTGAATTTTCATAGCTGCTCCAATGACCTGCTGAATATGCACACTTGGTGGCCAACAGGTTCAGCATAGATTCCTGGGTCACCTTCCCTCCCTCCAAGCGCTTGCCTCAGGTCCTGCCTGGAGGCCCATTTCCCAGCGAGCAGGTTGTAAACCTTTAGAAGAAATTACGCTCCTTTTTTCTAAATCTATAGACCCCATAATTTTTAGTGGACCTCATTGGTGTTAGAAGTGGGATTCAAAGGGGACCTCCGATCTCTTCCTGATGCCTCCAGAACCAATGCATCCTGCACTGGCAAGAGCCCCGTGAGCTCTTCTCGATTGCGCCATGGGAAGGCCTCGGGTAAGTCTTCCTGAATTCAGATGTCCAGCTCTTAGGTGGAAGATCTCAGAGACTTTAATTCTTCCCAGCTGGTTCTCTCCAAACAGTTTCTGGAAGGGACCTTCTCCATCAGTTCCAGGTTTTGGGACCCATGGTGCCTTCCCTTCCCTGTTCCCTCTCAGTCCCTGTCCTGGCTCCCTAATTGGGATCTTGGAGGGAATCTCTTTGTTGGTCCTGGGTTTGAGGAGACTCTTCCAGTTCCCTCCATCTGGACTGGATAGAAGATTCCTCTGAGGACCCCTGCCTAGCAGGGAGACATTCAGGTCAGACTTCTTGGGTCCATCAGGTTTGGTGAAGATGCTCGCCCTCTAGTGGTGCTTACAGGGACGCCTGTGGTAGGTAAGTGCAGTTATGAGGGCCCTTAGTGCCAAAAGGACAGACTCAGACCAGTGGCCATCAGGAACTCTGATGACTCTTTGTTTAAAGACTGTGTCCTGTATTACATGGGGGGAAATCTATAAAAAACAGATGAAGTTCATCCATGTGATGACGGCACTGCCGTGACACACAGGTAGTGACCCCGGCAAAAGGAGGGTGACTTCATCCATATTCAACGTGTTTATATTATTGGTGGCAGCTCATGTTGACTGCCCGACATTTGCATTGTAGTGGCTATAAAGTGATTTCTGAGCACTATGTGATCAATAAGCATTTACAGCCACCTGCCAGGTTCCATGCTCTGCTGTGGGACCACAGGGTGACAGAGACACAGTCCCTGCCCTTGAAGAAGCAGTCTCTGTCTACATGAGATTGTCAAGGAAAAAATCATTATCAAACACAACCTAGGCACATGGTCCAGCAGCCACGCTCCTTGGCATTTACCCAAATGAGAAAACCTAAAACCTGGATGTTTTTAACCACTACATTCATAATAGACAAAACTTAATAGGGACCAATATATTCTTCAGCAGATAAATGGATGAATAAACTGTAGCACATCCTGACAGTGTAAATTATTAAGCCCTAAAAGACATAAAAAAAACTTAAATGCACATAACCAAGTGAAAGAAGCCAACATGAAAAGGCCACATGACATTCTGGAAAAGGCAAATCTATGGACACAGTAGAAAGCCCAGGGGTTGCAAGGAGTCAGGGTAGAGTGGGATGGATAGAAAGAGAACAGGTGATTTTTTTAGGGCACTGAAGCTACTCTGCATGATGCTATAAGGGTGAATACATGTCATCATCAATTCATCAGAACTCATAGAATATACAGCACCAGATGTGAACCCTTAATGTTAATTATGAACTTTGGGTGATAAGGATGGTTCGTGTGGTTCATGCATTGGAGCAAATGGACCACGCTGGGGCAGGACGTTGATCCTTTAGGAGTCCGCGCTAGAGTGGGGTCATGAAGTATGTGGGAATGATCCACTTTCTGCTCAACTTCACTGCAACCTTATAACTGCTCTAAGAAAATAAATCATATATCCCTAAAAATATTGCACTTCCTTCCAGCTCCAAAATTGTATAAACTTAAATATTTTTAAATAAGAGCAATTCTTATTCATTGATCTTCAAAATCAGTTTTGAAGGTGTCATTTTATTTGAGACTCAATGCCACATTAAGCATTTTCTAAATATACTTCAAGTTCTGGGACACATGTGCAGAACGTGCAGGTTTGTTACATAGGGATACATATGCCATGGTGGTTTGCTGCACATATCAAGCCATCATCTACACTAGGTATTTATCCTAATGCTAACCCTCCCCCACCATCCCTACCCCCCAACAGGCCCCAGTGTGTGATGTTCCCTGTATCCATGTGTTCGCATTGTTCAACTCCCACTTATGACTGAAAACATGTGGTATTTGCTTTTCTGTTCCTGTGTTAGTTTGCTGAGAATGATGATTTCCAGCTTCATCCATGTCCCTGAAAATGACCTGAACTCATCATTTTTTATGGCTGCATAGTATTGAATGGTGTATATGTGCCATATTTTCTTTATCTAGTCTATCACTGAAGAGCTTTTGGTTTGGTTCCAAGTCTTTGCTATTAAGAACAGTGCCACACTAAACATACGTGTGCATTTGTCTTTATAGTAGAATGATTTATAATCCTTTGGGTATATACCCAGTAATGGGATTGCTGGGTCAAATGATATTTCCAGTTCTAGATCCTTGAGGAATCACCACACTGTCTTCCACAATGCTAGAACTAATTTACACTCCCACCAACACTGTCAAAGCATGCCTAATTTCTCCACATTCTCTCCAGCATCTGTTGTTTCCTGAAAAATATGGAACTTGTCACGAATTTGCACATCATCCTTGCGCAGGGGCCATGCTAATCTTCTCTGTGTCATTCCAACTTTAGTATACGTGCTGCCCAGGCCAACACAAACATTTTCTTTTTTTTTGAGACGGATCTCACTCTGTCCCCCAGGCTGGGGTGCAGTGGCACGCTCTCGGCTCACTGCAAGCTCTGCCTCCTGGGTTCATGCCATTCTGCTACCCCAGCTTTCTGAGTAGCTGGGACTACAGGTGCCTGTCACCATGCCCGGCTAATTTGTTGTATTTTTAGTAGAGACGGGGTTTCATCATGTTAGCCAGGATGGTCTCCATCTCCTGACCTCGTGATCCACCCATCTCAGCCTCCCAAAGTGCTGGGATTACAGTCGTGAGCCACTGTGCCCAGCCTACAAACCTTTTTAAAATATTGCACTACATACTTTAAAATACTAAATTCCCATTATAATTTAAAATTTCAATATACATATATTCAATATGTATAAAATTATATATATTCAATATGTATAAAATTATGTACATAAATTTATGTAAAAATATGTATTCAATATGTATAAAATTATATATAAATCACAATATTTATTCTCTATAAACACTTACATAACAGCAGATTTTTGGAGATACCACTCAATATCATCCTGTTTGCATCAATGAATTACACCAGATGGTCTGACCAACCAGCAGATGGCACATGAGTCTCATGGGTTGGAAATTTTTATCTCATGATCACTAGAGATGAACTCAGTCCTGCCCCACCCATCCCAACCTCTGCTGGCTGCTGAGGCTCTGCTGTTTGGGGGAATCACGATTAAGTGGTGGTGGTGGTGTGTAGAAGTTGAGTCCCATTGCCTGCCGTGGGTTTCTGCTGCCTCCCTATTATCAGGAATAGAAGGTGAGATTGAAGGGTGAAGAATGATGGGACTTCTATTAGGAGGGGAAAAAAAAAAGAACAAGATGCATATATTGAGCTCTTACTGTATGCCAGGCCCCATTCCAAGTCCTGACCATACACCATCTCATTGGGTCCTACGATAGTCTCATAGGGTGGTGGCATCATCATCTTCATTTTACAGGGAAGCTGAGCCTCTTGGCTGTTTCGTGCCCAACAGCACCAGCCCCTGAGTCCTCGGCAGGGTTCTACACTTAGGTGCCCTTTGTGTAGGGTCCTTCAGCACAGGTGTGGTCATTAATTACCCACAGGCACTTGATCATTATCCACCCTCTAAGGATGTGTGATTCCTACTACCATGCACTAGTCTTCCTTCACAGGGAGAAAAAGGAGGAGTTAAGAAAAGGTCTTTCATTGATGTTACAGGTATTATATGCCTACATAATGTCAGCATTTTGCTGAAAGGGAATTTGGATGTCTTTATTGGCCACAACTACTTTAATTCAGCAAGGGCCGCTACCCACCATGACAGGCATGGGTTAGTGATGCCCTGAGGCTCCTGCTCATACAGTGTGGAGCTCCCCTTCCAGGGCAGGGCCACGCCTTGGGCAGTGAAGTCCTTTCCCAGCACAGGTAACGGTCAGGAACTGAGAGCTCTGAATCCACCCATTGAGAGTGAACAGGGTCTCGGCATCAGGACAGAATGAGGGCACCTGAAGGGGCTTAACTTAAGTGGCTGACACTCACTTTGCACTTAGAATGCTTCAGGCCCTGTGTGCGTCTCTCATGTGCCACTAAATAGGCACAGAGAATAGCAAGAAGGTAACAGGAGGGGGATTGATCTAAATGATCAAATTCCATTTTGATGGTTTGATTTCCAGGAGCTGAACCTCATCAGTCACAGACAAATCAGTGCCTTATTAGCTCGATCAGTAACTGGACTTTTTTAGGTTTAAATTGTTTAATTGTTAAGCCATGTTAAGCAATTACGGAGGACACCAGATAGTTTCCACTCAGTTTCCCTTTATTTCTGACTGTTACTTTACAACCATCTGTGCAGGGGTAACCCTCTCATGTGTCTCTCCTCCCTGATTCTCACTCTAGCAATTCAGATTCCCATTTCTGATTCTCTGGGACACAGGTCTCTAAAGAGCCCATCCACTCCAAGTCAACTTTTCCCCCAGTCCTGCCCCTCCTGCATCCTCATTCCTTTCCCATTCACACTGAGGAGGCATTTGAAACGATGGGTCTGTGCTCCCTTTAACATGCACTCATGGCCTAGGTTTCAGCTCCGAAATGACCAGAAGAAAGCTTGAAATATATCCACCCTGATGGCAGGCATTCAACAGAGGCAGTGACTGGGCTCCAGGTCATAGGAGGCCCTGATGCCACAGCGAGGGCAGGGGACGGTGCAGAACACAATGATCTTGGGCTGCCTTAAGTCCCTCAGTGTGTTCATCAGCTCAGCCCCAAGTTCAGCAAATCTCCCCCAGCAGAGAGCACCCTGGGTGTCATAACTCTCCAGAGGGGCAGGATACAGCTCCAGGCTTAGCTTGCTCAGCCCGACGGTGTGGCGCAGCAGGTTCTCAAGGGCAGCCATGGAGATGAGGTTCCCACAGAAGCTGAAGGTGCTGAGCTGGGAGCAGCGGCTCAGGACAGGCAGGATGGCGCTGAGTTGGGAATCCATGATCCCACAGTCCTCTAAGTCCAGGGTCTGCAGGGTGGCCACAGCTTGCTCCAGCAGACCTGTGAGGGGCTCAGGGCTGAAATGGGTCAGCGTGACACCCCTCAGGTCCAGCTCCTTTAATTGACGGATGCTCGGGCACCAAGAGAGATGCTTCAAGTCTGACTCTGACAGCAGGCAGTCGGTCATAACGACCATCTCCAAGGAGGCCTGGAGACACCTGGGAGAGAACAAGAAGGAGTTAGAGGAGAGAGGTGGGGATGACTTCAGGGTGAGAGATGATGCTCTCCATAACCCAGGGCTGCTCTGCTCATCTGAGGATAGTCAGCACCTGGGGTGTGGGAATGGAGACTCTGTTCCTTCAGTGCAGTCCCAATCGAGGCTCAGTCCTTCACCATCACCGAGGTGATTGGATCAAGTCCATGAACTCTAAGTCTCCCTTTCCTCATCTGTCAGGTAGAAAACCACATCTCTGGGCCACAGGAGCCCGATGGAGACACAGGCATAAATGACAAACCCAGGCAGGATCCTGCAACATCAGCTGGGTTGGCCAGGTTGCAGGGGACCCTGACATGCCTGTACCATCAGCAAACCATCTATCACTTTTACCATTCTTTGCTCCTGCTCCCTCACCCTCTATTCTATCATCATGTATTTCCCATACATTAATTACCTGACCTGGAGCTCAAAACAGGGTGCTGACAGGGAAACATAGGATTTTGCCTGTTCACTAGGCAGGTGAGGATAGACCTCATATTTTAAAATATAGGAGTGGGATGGGCATTCTCTTTAGTGCCCTCTTCACCTCCCTATTTCCCATCATCTTAACTTAGACACACATCCTCAGGAGGAATTCACAAATGCACTCTCGCCAGATCTAAACCCTGCAGTAGCTAGCTTCCTAGCTTGGCACCTTCTCTATATCATCTAGCCCAGGAGATCCCTCTGACTTTATTGGGATGGTTGTGTGATACCCGTATCAGGACAGAGCCACCAACAGGATAATGCATGGATATTCTAGTGTCCCCTCACTCTTACTTCCTCACAGGCTCACAGTGCATACCCACTGGTGTTTACTGTAACAAAGAAAGGCTCTGCTGTGGTCTGAAGAGAAAGCTCACCATCCTTCCTCACCTGAGCAGCTGGTCCAGGTGGCCTTCGAGGAAAGAGACGGAGTGCATAGACAGATTCTGGAAATAGTCCAGCTTGAGGAACTGAGAGGTGAATCGGGCAATGAACTGCCCCTTGTTGTCTGGGGGAATGCAGGCAGATGCACGGATGTTGAAGAGAACAAGTTTGCGGAGATTCCTCATCTGGCCCAGGTAAGGGGCAAACTTCACAAGAGTGGACAGCTCCCAGGGGCAGCACACTTCCACCTCCTGGATACAGTCAAGCTCCACCATGTTCAGGACCTCTATGATACTGTGGATGGGCATTCCAAAAACCTGCAGCTCCTTGCAACACACATGCAGTAAGCCTTTTCTCTGCTTGCCCCACTCTAAGAGGTGGGTGAGGCATTCATCTAGTGTCCTGTTCTTGAGACAAAGGTCTATGAACACCATGAATGGCTGCTGCCTGCCTGTCCCTGGACAGTTATCTGCTGTTTGCTTCTGACTCAGAGCCTCCGGGAAGGATGCAGTAGCTCCAGAAAATATGTCGCAGAAGTTCTCATCCACATTCCTCAAGTCCAGCACTTGAAGTTTTGACTGCCTGTGGGTAAAGGAGAAGAGAGGCTCCAAACTAAGGCAAGGACCTGAGCTTTTATTTACATCCCAGACATCAGCTGTTCTCCTCTCTGCCACTTTTCCCTCTCTGATTTTGTCCAACCCCTTTTCCCTCCGGATTTTGCCTCATCCCCATTGCCTGTAGCTTTCAGAGCCACTAGAAGAGAAGTTTCTGTTTCCTCAGTGGACCCTGCATGGTGAGCAGTCCTTTCCCAGAGGGGCTGGGCAATGGCCAAGGCCTTCCTGAGCTTCCTCACTGGCACCATCAGAAACCTCTGGGCCTCCATGGTGCCCCTCCTCCTCCTGAAACAGCTGTCCCTACCCTGGACAAAAGGGCCCTCCCCACCTGGACACCTGGGTCACCTCACCTGGGGCGAACCTCTTGGGTCAACAGCACATCAACCCCTTCCAGCACAGATTTTAATGACTCCAGATGAGGCGACTTCATCAGGGACCCTAGAGGGAGGCGGGTGAAAGGCCAGGCCTGCACCATTGTTTTCAGGGTTTCACAGCGTCTCCTGCTGAAGGCCTCCATGAACAGCGTGGGGAAGAGCTCCCTGGGCAGCTCCTCCATGGTGGAGATGGCCAAGGCCTGGTCCCTCAGCAGCCTCTGCCTTGCCAGCTCCAGGAGTCTGGGTGGGGCCCTGATGCTCATCTTGATGAATCTGCAAGGGAAAACTCTAGAGGACAAATCCAGAGAAAAGGCATCACTCTCAGGCCAAATATGATCACCTCATCTTCTCCTATTGCTAATCTCATTGCTCTGGTGGAGGTGGAAAAGCCCTCAATTCCCCCCAGTTCCATTCTGCACTTGGTGGCCACAAATCTGTATCTGTGCCCCTGTGACTACCACAAAGAATGTCTTCCAAACACCAAGGAGGGGACGAGGTGGCCAGTGGCCCATTAATTTCTATACATTGCTCCACTGAAACTCAGGATTACTGGGATCTGTCACTCAGGATCCTGAAAGCTAAGCTCCACCTTTTTGAGGGAAATTTTTTTGTTACTTACCACCCAAAAACAATGAGAATGACTGTCCTGTGGCCCCACACAGCCTGCATTCTCAGTTTACACAATTAGCATGCTTGGGGAAGACTGAAGTGACTCCTTAAAATCAATGCCACTTGTTTTTATTTTGAAAAATTATAAGAGAAACTATAAAAGCAGTGTGGCAGTATTCTAGAGCACTTGGAAGGTGCGGGTGGAAACACTAAGTCTCAGATGAAGGATCCAATACTCATCCCTTCTACATACTCACAATCACCCACTTAGGGACAGAGTCTAAGGGCAGAGATAAATCCCATGTTCAGAACAAGACTCGAGAAAATCACAATACAACTAAGTGTGTGAACTGTAGCTGAAGGGCACAGAAACAAATAACTTCACATGTCAAGACATAAAAATTCATCCAACTGTAAATTTTTAATATCTTTTTTAAAAAACTGCTTCAATAAGAATTTTGAAATGAGAAAAATGAAGCAGAAATCAAAATTTGAGGGATGAAGTGAATACTATATTTAGAGGAAAAATCAAAACCTACATCTGTTAAATTGAAAAAACAGACAGGAAATTCTCTGTGCCACTTTGGGCTGTGTGTCACCATCCCTGACTGGCTGGCTGCAGATCAGATGGGCATGTTCCTAAGGAGGTGGTGACTTACCAGATCTGGACTCAGTTTGTAGGGTGCTGGGATCTCTCAGAGAATCAAGCAGTAGTTCCAGGCACCAGGGCTTTGGGTCTCTCCTTTGCAAACTCAGGAGCTTTTATTGATGTTTCTAACCACACCCTCCCCTTCTCAATCACCAGCTTCCAATCAGAAAGTGATACCTGATTAGATTCCGAAGTTCCACCTAGTTAGTCCTGATTGAGTTTTACACTTTCTTCTGATTCATTGATTAAATTAGATGTGCATTTATGAAAGTGAAAGAATAAATAACAGGGTGAAAGTCCAAAACTCATTAATTCATTTATTCCCCAAACACTGATGAAGTTTGACTAATATGTGACCTTCATAGAGACATGGAAGGTTTAATCTGTTCCTGACATTAGAAAGAAAAAACAAAACCTGATGATATCTTTATGGGAAAATCTGTGGCCACATCGAAATTATCAAAACGTTTCGTTAAGACAGTTAAAACAGCTTTAAAAAGACAGTGATGTCCACCCTAAGAAAACGGATTAAAAAGCTCCTTTATCCAATGGTCACCTGGGTTTTATGTTTTATAACAGGGCAGGTCATATGTGGGTTCAGGTTGAAAAGGGAACCACGGAGGGTGTGATTGATCACAAGACTAAGGTCAAGGCTTCACTGAAGGAAATCAGGACAGAATGACAAAGTGAGGTGGCGGCTGGGCAGGATGGGACCGGGTGTTCTAGTAGAACCCTGGGAAGGAACCAAGACAGCATAAAACATGGTGGGTATTTTGTGGGCATCTCCACAGAAGGATTGAAAGACTCTGTCTAGATTGAGTTTAAAAATTAAAAAGGGAATAATTACAAAAGAGACAGTGCAGACTCTTCAAACACAACATTGTCTTTGAGGGCAGAGGAGGCAGATACAGTCTTGGCCTCTACTACAAGGGAAAGCGTGTTTACTCCCAAAAATGATGGGCTCGCCTTGGAAAATCAGCCTGGGAAGATGGAATCTGAGAATGTGAGCTGGGGCAGATGCCAGAGGAAGGAAGGAAGGAAGGAAGGGAGGGAGGAAGGAAGGAAGGGAGGGAGGGAGGGAGGAAGGGAGGGAGGTAGGGAGGGAGGGAGGGAGGGAGGGAGGGAGGGAAGGAGGGAGGGAGGGAGGGAAGGAAGGAAATGAAAGAAAGAAAGAAAGAAAGAAAGAAAGAAAGAAAGAAAGAAAGAAAGAAAGAAAGAGAGAGAGAGAGAGAAACTCAGCCTTCCTGTCTTTAAGAACGGTGCACACATCTGGTTGTATTGTGTGCAAATGTACAATACATTTCCCCAACAAAACCTGGAAGCTCTATTTCATGTTAAAAGATCTGCTAAGTTCAGGGATGGCTCCCATCCTAAGCAGGATCACACAGTCATTCTTCTGCTATTTTAGGGCACAAAGTAGCAAGAACGTCCCCCGCCTCCAGAAAGTCCTCCAGGCCTTTCTCTCCCATTCCATATGAAACCCAAACAGCCCGGAGATGCCACTGGCTTCCAAAACTGAAGTACTTTGAAGGATGTTCTCCATCATGGAATATTTCTGTAAATGTTCTTTCTCCACGTTTCTGACCTCACTATCAATGCCCTGCTATGTGTGCAATCGAGTTAAACTGAAACGTGCTCAGTGCGGCTTCTACTTCACCTGCCCTCACTTTGTGAGCCTGAGGCTGAGGGTGAGCTCAGCACCAAAGGTGATCCTGAGTGTCTCTGTTGATTGAGCATGCACAAGGCACAGCAGGGACTGGTACCATTCATCCAAGATCTCAGCTCTCCCTCACGAGGAATCTAAGGCATGTTGCTATATTCCTCATTTTTAAAGTGGTGACCCTGAGACTTGGCTAGGGAGAGGAACCTGCCCGTGTTCAGGCAGCAAATGATGGACAGACCCCTCTGGTGAGGAGCTCAGAGGATCCCCTAAGGAGTTCAATAATCTAAATGTTGAAAAGAACTGATTGACAGACTTTCCCTTCCTGCCCAATTCAGAAGGTCCAGCACCACCCCCAGGACCCCAGTGAGAATCCCGCACTTGGGGGCATTTCTACCATGTCCTGTCACCTGTTCTTCTCAAGGTGCTCATCTGCTGTCAAACTCAGAGCATCCTTCAGAGCCCCTCTGAGAAGATGACCTGACCCCTTCTCCACTCACAGAATCTCCACCAGAATACCAAAGCTCCCCCAGGCACTTGCTCAGGGTCTCTAGAATATTTCTGAGCTTCTGTTTCCCTCCTGCAGACTGAGCTGTCAAGGCAGGTATCTCTTTATGCATCCTGGATACCTCAGCCCAAATCTCCTGAACAACAGAACATGGCCACAATGCTGGGAGACCTTCACCCCAGAGCAGTCATTGAGGAATTCTCCCAAAATTCTATTGAGCTATTTTGGTGAACATGAGAAGCCATAAAGCAGGGAGTTCCTCAGCTGCTGCTCTGGCCCTAAAGAGGCCCCTGGGACAGGACTGCTGGAGGGTGACCCTGCCTGGCACGCAGAAGGAGACCTGAGTCCTCTGGTCTTCCTATGGGTGCCAGGCTGAGAAGAGGTCCTGGGAAATGTCTCGGTGCAGGGGCCATCCCTTCCCAGGCTCCCCTGGGTCAGCCTTAGAGCTGACAAGGCTGCACCTGGAATGCAGTCAGTCTGTTTCTGTCCAAGTCAGGTCTCTTCTTAGCCTGAGCTGTTCACCCTCTGTGCATTTCTAAGAGTCAAAATCTCTGTTCTGGCCCTGTTGCCCTTCTCTGGTCCTCAACCGGGTCTGATTCCAGGTCAGATTCATGCACATCGTGTGCTAAAGTAGGGGCTTCCTCTCTTTCTTCCTCCAATCAAGTCTGAGGACAAGGTCACCCTGAAAGCAGACACTTGATGCTGAGGGAGGTGCTCAGAGCCTGGGGTGGGAGGAGGTCTGCACCCTCACTCCAGGCTGGACAGAGCCAGAGGGACTGAAAGTAGGAATGGGGCCAAGAAGGGGAGTGATCAGAGGAGCTGATGGGGCTGAAATAAAGGGGAAGGAGGGAGGTGGCAGCAGAGCAGGGAGCCAGGTTCTCTGGCTCTCATAGAGCTGTGTCTCTGAAAGGCAGGGACTTGTGTCTGAGACCGTGGGGCACTGGGGCTTGGACTTGGGTCTGTGAGTTCCCAAGACACTTTATGTGCCCTGGTCTGCATGAGGTTTTAGTGGCTGCCCCATCCTGCCCCAGGGGCACAGAGTCAGGAGAGTGGGGAGTCCCAGGAGAGGAAGAGCGGGTGGCGAGTGTCCATCCTGGATCCAAAGACAAGCAGCAGGTCAGAAGGAAGCAGCTGTGGCTTGAGGCCAAGGAAAGGATTCTCTTTGGAAATCGTGCAGCTCCATCTTTTCACTGGTCAGAGCCTTATGGGACGGTGAGGACTGGGCTTTTCAGGAGGGAATGAAAAAGAATGGGGTCTGGCTCAGAGTCCCTGACATCCAAGTTATTCCAAACCTCCTCTGACAAGCAAAGGGAAAATCATGGAGGATGGAAGTCAAACCAAGGCTCACATGGCTGCCCAGAGCTTTCCAGTGGATCCAGAGAGGGCACAATGATCCTCAGTCAGAAAAGTCCTCCAATGTCCAGCACTGAGGCCCAACAAGAGTGCCTGGAGGGGACTCTCTGTGACATGTCTGAAGAGAAGATTCTGGCGCATGTGACTCCTCCCACACCCTCTGCCTCCCCCTGACTCCTCTCCCCTTGATTCATTCAAAGACCTTCACTGAGCACCAGGGATTGCTTCCTGCAATTCCGGGTGCTACCAGGGAAGATGAATAAAATGCAAGGAAGCTGGAGAATGAACTCAGCAGAGGACACCAGGCTCAGCACTGCAATCCCGGTCAGAAAAATAACTCTGCAGGCTGCGCGGTGCAGAGCGATCATAATAACCCATGGGGATAATCACAGGTGTCCCAAATCCTTTAATCACTTTTTGTTGGAATATGAAGAGGTCTCTCACTGCTGAATATAAATATACAGGGAAGTGAAAAACATTAGTAAAACGAACATTTACTAAGTGCAATGTGACTCAAAGCACTGAGAAGCCAAGGGTTTTATTTCTTTGAAACAACTTGCCAAGGCAGTTTGAACAGTGATCATCTTCTTCCTGGGCTCAGCACCGCAGAGGCAGCTGGTGTCTTCTCCACCTGGGAGAGTTGTCCTGCTTTTTTTTAAGTTGGGATAGGCCAGTGAGTCAGGAAGTTTGTTCATCTTGGGCTTGGGGTACAGGAGGAGTTGGTGGGGTGCCTGTGGCCACTCCACTGCCCTCTGGGATTAGGAGGAGACAGTGGGGTCAGGACTCACCCCCTGGCCTGTGCTTCAGGTGATCCCTCTCCGTCCTGTGGATGTGGGGTTGGGAGCAGGTTTGGGGTCCTCGCCTATCCCCATTGGCTCTTCTTGGGAAGATGAATTTATGGGGCACCTGCAGGTGGCCACGTGTGGGAAGGAATCTCAGAACTTACATGGATCCATGCAAATGAGGCTTCCTTCAGGCAGACAGAGGAACTCTGAGCCTCCCTGATGCTGCAGGCACCTGGGTTTGGGGACCCTCTTGGAGACAAATGCATGGAGCGTCCCAGCAAGTTTCCCTGTCTCCCAGCTCCTCCCTGGGCTTCTGCATCCGGGAGTCAGGGCCGGATCAAGAGAAGCCCTGCGGGGAGTGGGAAGGACATAGGATTCTCAGGGTCTCAAGTTCAGCTTTTAACATTATCCTCAAAGGTGGGGTTTTTCCCAGAGGCCTCCTTTCCACAGATCCCATGCCTTCTTGCTGGACTCACGGGAAACTTGCCCTGCTAGAGACATGGGATATTTTACTTTTCTGTGCCATGGAGCCATGCTGGAGAGCTGTGACTTCCTAGCTGACCACACACACACATAAACATGTAAACACCATGAGGTCATTGTAGGGATGCCCACTGGGCCTGCGGTTCTCCCATAGCACCCAGTTCATAAAAGCCTCCCTTTCACTCACCTGGGGCCTGGAGTCATTGGCCTCCTCCTGTCTCATTGATCCAGCATTTGGCCTTGACTGGCCAGTGACTCAGACCCCAGCAAGAAGGACAAAATGACTAGTTCACGTGCTTTAGGGGAAACACAGAGAGAATGAGAAGACCAGTGTCTGAACTGGCAGGTTGTGAATTGGCTCAGGGAGATGAGACTGGAGAGGTGCAGCCAGGGGCAAGGGTGACTCAGGGGTCATTGGCAGTTTGGGATTAGGGTTGTGAGGCCACTTGAAGCCTATCTTCCACATCCCCGAGGTGGCTGAGAGGACCGTGTTCCCTGAGGGGACAACCAGAGGGCAGGGACACGCTTCAGAAGATTCTTGCACTGTCCAGACAGGAGGTCCTGGTGTCCACTTGAGTGGCCATGGACAGCATAGGGACGTCCTGGAGGCAGAGTCAGCAGGACTTGCTCTTAATTCTTCCTGGGGTGGATGTGAAGCTTGTGTCCTGGCAGAGGGAGTGGTTGGCACAGGGCTGAGTTATCCCCTGTGGCCTCAACTGTTTTCCTGATTATGCCTGTTGTCTTTGAATGTCAACAAAAGTAGCCAACATTTATGGAGGGTTTATTATGCCCCATGCTTTGGGCTCAGCATTTTTACCTGAAGATTGAGATTATCCTTCTACACATTTGATGGAGAAAGAGACACATTCAAAGAGAGAGGGAGAAATTTTCAAGGCCAGACAGCCTGTAAGTGGTGGGACTGGAATGACGGAATGTCTGTTTGTCAACATCTTTGGCGGTGACATGATACTGTCCCAGTCCCTGCAATGTGCTGCTCATTTTCATCCTTTCAAATAAAACTCCACAGTCAGAGGCTTGTGCAAGAGTTGGGGTCCAGAGCATCAGGTCTAATGTTTGCTATGTTTATATTCACTGCCAAATCTGTTATTCCAAAGAAATTTTACTAGTGAAATAGAAATACGTTGTCTGACAGCATTACCCCCTGTGATATGGTTTGGATCGAACCATTGCTCTCCAGCCTGGCAACAGAGTGAGACTCCATCTCCAAAAAAAAAGCAATTAATTATAACAACACGTCTCTTCACTCTCCAAAGTGTCTGGGACTGGACAATTAATTGTCAGGCCCTCTTCTGTAGCACCATACACTAGAGCATATACGTGGATTAAAATAAATACACACACAAAATGCAAGTATATATTCTTTTTTCATTATTATTATACTTTAAGTTTTAGGGTTCATGTGCACAACGTGCAGGTTTGTTACATATGTATACATGTGCCATGTTGGTGTGCTGCACCCATTAACTCATAATTTAGCATTAGGTATATCTCCTATTGCTATCCCTCCCCCCTCCCCCCACCCCACAACAGTCCCCGGTGTGTGATGTTCCCCTTCGTGTGTCCATGTGTTCTTATTGTTCAATTCTCACCTACGAGTGAGAACACCTATGAGTTTTGTTCTAGGGTTTTTATGGTTTGAGGTCTAACATGTAAGTCCTTAATCCACCTTGAATTAATTTTTCTATAAGGTGTAAGGAAGGGATCCAGTTTCAGCTTTCTACTTATGGCTAGCCAGTTTTCCCAGCACCATTTATTAAATAGGGAATTGTTTCCCCATTTCTTGTTTTTGTCAGGTTTGTCAAAGATCAGATAGTTGTAGATATGCGGCATTATTTCTGAGGGCTCTGTTCTGTTCCGTTGGTCTATATCTCTGTTTTGGTACCAGTACCATGCTGTTTTGGTTACTGTAGCCTTGTAGTATAGTTTGAAGTCAGGTAGCATGATGCCTTCAGCTTTATTCTTTTGGCTTAGGATTGACTTGGCAATGCGGGCTCTTTTTTGGTTCTATATGAACTTTAAAGTAGTTTTTTCCAATTCTGTGAAGAAAGTCATTGGTAGCTTGATGGGGATGCCATTGAATCTATAAATTACCTTGGGCAGCATGGCCATTTTCACCATATTGGTTCTTCCTACCCATGAGCATGGAATATTCTTCCATTTGTTTGTATCCTCTTTTATTTCATTGAGCAGTGGTTTGTAGTTCTCCTTGAAGAGGTCCTTCACATCCCTTGTAAGTTGGATTCCTAGGTATTTTATTCTCTTTGAAGCAATTGTGAATGGGAGTTCACTCATGATTTGACTCTCCGTTTGTCTGTTAGTGGTGTATAAGAATGCTTGTGATTTTTGCACATTGATTTTGTATCCTGAGACTTTGCTGAAGTTGCTTATCAGCTTAAGGAGATTTTGGGCTGAGATGATGGGGTTTTCTAGATATACAATCATGTCATCTGCAAACAGGGACAATTTGACTTCCTCTTTTCCTAATTGAATTCCCTTTATTTCCTTCACCTGCCTGATTGCTCTGGCCAGAACTTCCAACACTATGTTGAATAGGAGTGGTGAGAGAGGGCATCCCTGTCTTGTGCCAGTTTTCAAAGGGAATGCTTCCAGTTTTTGTCCATTCAGTATGATATTGGCTGTGGGTTTGTCATAGATAGCTCTTATTATTTTGAGATGCGTCCCATCAATACCTAATTTATTGAGAGTTTTTAGCATGAAGGTTGTTGAATTTTGTCAAAAGCCTTTTCTGCATCTATTGAGATAATCATGTGGTTTTTGTCTTTGGTTCTGTTTATATGCTGGATTATGTTTATTGATTTTCGTATGTTGAACCAGCCTTGCATCCCAGGGATGAAGCCCACTTGATCATGGTGGATAAGCTTTTTGATGTGTTGCTGGATTCAGTTTGCCAGTATTTTATTGAGGATTTTTGCATCAATGTTCATCAAGGATATTGGTCTAAAATTCTCTTTTTTTGTTGTGTCTCTGCCAGGCTTTGGTATCAGGATGATGCTGGCCTCATAAAATGAGTTATGGAGGATTCCCTCTTTTTCTATTAAGTGGAATAGTTTCAGAAGGAATGGTACCAGCTCCTCCTTATACCTCTGGTAGAATTCGGCTGTGAATCCAACTGGTCCTGGACTTTTTTTGGTTGGTAAGCTATTAATTATTTCCTCAATTTCGGAGCCTGTTATTGGTCTGTTCAGAGATTCAACTTCTTCCTGGTTTAGTCTTGGGAGGGTGTGTATGTCGAGGAATTTATCCATTTCTTCTAGATTTTCTTGTTTATTTGCGTAGAGGTGTTTATAGTATTCTCTGATGGTAGCTTGTATTTCTGTGGGATCAGTGGTGATATCCCCTTTGTCATTTTTTATTGCATCTATTTGATTCCTCTCTCTTTTCTTCTTTATTAGTCTTACTAGCAGTCTATTAATTTTGTTGATCTTTTCAAAAAACCAGTTCCTGGATTCATTGATTTTTTGAAGGGTTTTTTGTGTCTCTATTTCCTTCAGTTCTGCTCTGATCTTAGTTATTTCTTGCCTTCTGCTAGCTTTTGAATGTGTTTGCTCTTGCTTCTCTACTTCTTTTAATTGTGATGTTAGGGTGTCAATTTTAGATCTTTCCTGCTTTCTCTTGTGGGCATTTAGTGCTATAAATTTCCCTCTACACACTGCTTTGAATGTGTTCCAGAGATTCTGGTATGTTGTGTCTTTGTTCTCATTGGTTTCAAAGAACATCTTTATTTCTGCCTTCATTTCGTTATGTACCCAGTAGTCACTCAGGAGCAGATTGTTCAGTTTCCATGTAGTTGAGCAGTTTTGAGTGAGTTTCTTAATCCTGAGTTCTAGTTTGATTGCACTGTGTTCTGAGAGACAGTTTGTTATAATTTCTGTTCCTTTACATTTGCTGAGGAGTGCTTTACTCCCAACTATGTGGTCAATTTTGGAATAGGTGTGGCGTGGTGCTGAAAAGAATGTACATTCTGTTGATTTGGGGTGGAGAGTTCTGTAGATGTCTATTAGGTCTGCTTGGTGCTGAACTGAGTTCAATTCCTGGATATCCTTGTTAACTTTCTGTCTCATTGATCTGTCTAATGTTGACAGTGGGGTGTTAAAGTCTCCCATTATTATTGTGTGGGAGTCTAAGTGTCTTTGTAGGTCACTAAGTACTTGCTTTATGAATCTGGGTGGGGCAACCCGCTCGGGTCCCCTTCCACAGTGTGGAGGCTTTGTTCTTTCGCTCTTTGCAATAAATCTTGCTACTGCTCAAAAAAAAAAAAAAAGTATGAATCTGGGTGCTCCTGTATTGGGTACATATATATTTAGGATAGTTAGCTCTTCTTGTTGAATGGATCCCTTTACCATGATGTAATGGCCTTCTTTGTCTCTTTTGATCTTTGTTGGTTTAAAGTCTGTTTTATCAGAGACTAGGATTGCATCCCCTGCCTTTTTTTGTTTTCCATTTGCTTGGTAGATCTTCCTCCATCCCTTTATTTTGAGCCTATGTGTGTCTCTGCACGTGAGATGGGTTTCCTGAATACAGCACACTGATGGGTCTTGACTCTTTATCCAATTTGCCAGTCTGTGTCTTTTAATTGGAGCATTTAGCCCATTTATATTTAAGGTTAGTATTGTTATGTGTGAATTTGTTCCTGTCATTATGATGTTAGCTGGTTATTTTGCTCATTGGTTGATGCAGTTTCTTCCTAGCCTTGATGGTCTTTACAATGTGGCATGTTTTTGCAGTGGCTGGTACTGGTTGTTCCTTTCCACGTTTAGTGCTTCCTTCAGGAGCTCTTTTAGGGCAGGCCTGGTGGTGACAAAAATCTCAGCATTTGCTTGTCTGTAAAGTATTTTATTTCTCCTTCACTTATGAAGCTTAGTTTGGCTGGATATGAAATTCTGGGTTGAAAATATTTTTCTTTAAGAATGTTGAATATTGGCCCCCACTCTCTTTCTGGCTTGTAGAGTTTCTGCCAAGAGATCAGCTGATAGTCTGATGGGCTTCCCTTTGTGGGTAACCCGACCTTTCTCTCTGGTTGCCCTTAACATTTTTTCCTTCATTTCAACTTTGGCGAATCTGACAATTATGTGTCTTGGAGTTGCTCTTCTCGAGGAGTATCTTTGTGGCATTCTCTGTATTTCCTGAATTTGAATGTTGGCCTGCCTTGCTAGATTGGGGAAGTTCTCCTGGATAATATCCTGCAGAGTGTTTTCCAGCTTGGTTCCATTCTCCCCATCACTTTCTGGTACACCAGTCAGACATAGATTTGGTCTTTCCACATAGTACCATATTTCTTGGAGGCTTTGTTTTTTTCTTTTTATTCTTTTTTCTTTAAACTTCTCTTCACACTTCATTTCATTCATTTCATCTTCCATCGCTGATACCCTTTCTTCCAGTTGATTGCATATGTTAATGAGGCTTGTGCATTCGTCATATAATTCTCATGCTATGGTTTTCAGCTCCATCAGGTCCTTTAAGAACTTCTCTTCATTGGTTATTCTAGTTATCCATTTGTCTAATTTTTTCCCAAAGTTTCTAACTTCTTTGCCATTGGTTCCAACTTCCTCCTTTATCTCGGAGTAGTTCGATCTTCTGAAGTCTTCTTCTCTCAAATCATCAAAGTCATTCTCCATCCAGCTTTGTTCCATTGCTGGTGAGGAGCTGCGTTCCTTTGGAGGAGGAGAGGCACTCTGATTTTTAGAGTTTCCAGTTTTTCTGCTCTGTTTTTTGCCCATCTCTGTGGTTTTATCTACCTTTGGTCTTTGATGATGGTGATGTACAGATGGGTTTTTGGTGTGGATGTCCTTTCTGTTTGTTAGTTTTCCTTCTAACAGTCAGGACTCTCATCTGCAGTTCTGTTGGAGTTTGCTGGAGGTCCACTCCAGACCCTGTTTGCCTGGGTATCAGCAGCAGAGGCTGCAGAACAGTGGATATTGGTGAACCGCAAATGCTGCTGTCTGATCTTTCGTCTGGAAGTTTTGTCTCAGAGGAGTACCCAGCTGTGTGAGGTGTCAGTCTGCCCCTACTTGGTGTTGCCTCCCAGTTAGGCTACTCGGGGGTCAGGGACCCACTTGAGGAGGGAGTCTGCCCGTTCTCAGATCTCAAGCTGCATGCTGGGAGAACGACTACTCTCTTCAAAGCTGTCAGACAGGGACATTTAAGTCTGCAGAGGTTATTGCTTTCTTTTGTTTGTCTGTGCCCTGCCCCCAGAGGTGGAGTCTACAGAGGCAGGCAGGCCTCCTTGAGCTGTGATGGGCTCCACCCAGTTCCAGCTTCTGGGCTGCTTTGTTTACCTACTCAAGTCTCGGCAATGGTGGGGGCCCCTCCCCCAGCCTCGCTGCCGCCTTGCAGTTTGATCTCAGGCTGCTGTGCTAGCAATGAGCAAGGCTCCGTGGGCACAGGACCCTCCAAGCCAGGTGTGGGATATAATCTCCTGGTGTGCAGTTGTTACGCCCATTAGAAAAGCGCAGTATTAGGGTGGGAGTGACCTGATTTTCCAGGTGCCATCTGTCACCCCTTTCTTTGACTAGGAAAGGGAATTCCCTGACCCCTTGTGCTTCCCAGGTGAGGCGATGCCTCGCCCTGCTTCAGCTCACGCACGGTGCACTGCACCCACTGTCCTGCACCCACTGTCTGGCACTCCCCAGTGAGTTGAACCTGGTACCTCAGTTGGAAATGTAGAAATCACCCATCTTCTGCATCACTTATGCTGGGAGCTGTAGACTGGAGCTGTTCCTATTCAGCCATCTTAAGTATATATTCTAAATACTTTCTATATACTTATATTCTAAGAGGTCACATGCAAATTCAAGGCTAGGTCAAAGAGTAGAGTGGCTATCTATGGAAAGGGGAGTGGAAGTGAATCATGGTAATAAAAATTAAGTATAGATATAGATAGGAATAGATAGACATACACACATATAGCTGCAAGAAAGGGGAATGTCATGGACCAATGATGTCAGTGAGCCATGTAAAAAGGCTACAATTCTTGTGATTGTGTGTCTGTTTTCAGGATGGGTTGTAGCTTACCTTTTTAGAAAGGCTGATGCCACAGCCATAGTGAATAAATGGTTATAAAATGTGTTTCCTTTCTGGGGCATCTCTGGAGAAATCTCCAGTGGTAGGAGAACTCCGTTTACTGGGCAGGTGATCACACAGATAAGATTTTTCAGATCCAATGGCACTACCATTAACTTCATTATCCTTGGTATTCTACAAAGGTCGAGTGAAGAAATGGTATCTTGAAACTAAAATTAGCTAAACTAACAAAGGAGATTGGGTTAATTTTTTTTTTTTTTTTTTTTTGAGACAGAGTCTCTGTTACCCAGGCTGGAGTTCAGTGGTGCTATCTCAGCTCACTGCAACCTCTGCCTCCTGGGTTCAAGTGATTGTCATGCCTTAGCCTCCCAAGTAGCTGGGATTACAGGCATACCACCACACCCAGCTAATGTTTGTATTTTTAGTAGATAACGGGGTTTCACCATGTTGCCCAGATTGCTCAACTCCTGGCCTCAAGTGATCCACCAGCCTCGGCCTCCCAAAGTGCTGAGATTACAGGTGTGAGCCATCATGTCCAGCAAGACTGGATTACTTTAATGAAATTTTTACCACCCCCTATGGGAAAACACAGCCAGATCCCCCATAAGGTATTTTTTTTTCACCAACTGCAATCAGAAACACTGATAATTAAGTATTTACTGGAGAACCTATGCCTTTGATAATAGAACATTATGTATCCCCTGCACTTTTTAGCTCTGATCATGTAACCAGAGGATCAACTCCAACAGATTAGTCATTGCTTAAGTTGTTACAGGTGATGACGCAAAGCCCAAATTGCTCAGGCATGTCCGATGGGAAAAAGGTTTAACCTCTTAACTATTAACACAGCCAGGCGGACTGTTTGAATTGGCATCATCTGAAACCAGTTGGAAAGATGATGCAAGCTTGCTCCACCATCCCCAGATTGGGGAGACAGGTTTAGAACTTGTCTCCTATCTGCTTGTCAGTTAACTCTTTTTTATTTTTATTTTTATTTTTTTCTTTGAGACAGAGTCTCACTCTGTTGCCCAGGCTGGAGTGCAGTGGCATGATCTCAGCTCACTGCAACATTGGCCTTCCAGGTTCAAGTGATTCTCCTGCCTCAGCCTCCCCAGTAGCTGGGATTACAGGCATGCACCACCATGCCCAGCTAATTTTTGTATTTTTGTATATTTATTTATTTATTTATTTATTTATCATTCTTGGGTGTTTCTCACAGAGGGGGATTTGGCAGGGTCATAGGACAATACTGGAGGGAAGGTCAGCAGATAAACAAGTGAACAAAGGTCTCTGGTTTTCCTAGGCAGAGGACCCTGTGGCCTTCCGCACTGTTTGTGTCCCTGGGTACTTGAGATTAGGGAGTGGTGATGACTCTTAACGAGCATGCTGCCTTCAAGCATCTGTTTAACAAAGCACATCTTGCACCACCCTTAATCCATTTAACCCTGAGTGGACACAGCACATGTTTCAGAGAGCACAGGGTTGGGGGTAAGGTCATAGATCAACAGGATCCCAAGGCAGAAGAAGTTTTCTTAGTACAGAACAAAATGAAAAGTCTCCCATGTCTACTTCTTTCTACACAGACATGGCAACCATCCGATTTCTCAATCTTTTCCCCACCTTTCCCCCTTTTCTATTCCACAAAACTGCCATTGTCATCATGGCCCATTCTCAATGAGCTGTTGGGTACACCTCCCAGACGGGGTGATGGCCGGGCAGAGGGGCTCCTCACTTCCCAGTAGAGGCGGCCGGGCAGAGGCGCCCCTCACCTCCCGGACTGGGCGGCTGGCCGGGCGGGGGGCTGACCCCCCACCTCCCTCCCGGACGGGGCAGCTGGCCTGGCGGGGGCTGACCCCCACCTCCCTCCCGGACGGGGTGGCTGCCGGGTGGAGGGGCTCCTCACTTCTCAGATGGGGCGGCTGCCAGGTGGAGGGTCTCCTCACCTCCCAGAAGGGGCGGCGGGGCAGAAGCGCTCCCCACATCTCAGACGATGGGCGGCCGAGCAGAGACGCTCCTCACTTCCCAGACGGGGTGGCGGCCGGGCAGAGGCTGCAATCTCGGCACCTTGGGAGGCCAAGGCAGGCGTCTGGGAGGTGGAGGTTGTAGCGAGCTGAGATCACGCCACTGCACTCCAGCCTGGGCAACATTGAGCACTGAGTGAACGAGACTACGTCTGTAATCCCGGCACCTCGGGAGGCCGAGGCTGGCAGATCACTCGCGGTTAGGAGCTGGAGACCAGCCCGGCCAACACAGCGAAACCCCGTCTCCACCAAAAAAATACGAAGACCAGTCAGGCGTGGTGGCGCGCGCCTGCAGTCGCAGGCACTGGGCAGGCTGAGGCAGGAGAATCAGGCAGGGAGGTTGCAGTGAGCCGAGATGGCAGCAGTACAGTCCAGCTTCGGCTCGGCATCAGAGGGAGACCGTGGAAAGAGAGGGAGAGGGAGACCGTGGGGAGAGGGAGACCGTGGGGAGAGGGAGACTGTGGGGAGAGGGAGAGGGAGAGCAATTTTTGTATTTTTAATAGAGAGGGAGTTTCACCATATTGGTCAGGCTGATCTGGAGCTCCTGACCTTGTGATCCGCCCACCTTGGCCTCCTAAAGTGCTGGGATTACAGGTATAAGCCACTGTGCCCAGCCCAGTTAACTGTTAATAAATTTTTTTTTCCCAAAATGGAGTCTTGCTCTGTCACCCAGGCTGGAGTGCAGAGGTGCAATCTCGGCTCACTGCAACCTCTGCCTCACAGGATCAAGTGATTCTTCTGCCTCAGCCTCCTAAGTAGCTGGGATTACAGACATGGGTCATCACACCCAGCTAATTTGTGTATTTTTCATAGAGACAGGGTTTCACCATATTGGCCAGGCTGGATTCGAACCCCTGACCTTGTGATCCGCCTACCTTGGCCTCCTAAAGTGCTGCAAATATAGGTGTCAGCCACCATGCCCAGCCTTTTTTGCTTTTCTATGCACTTAGGAGAGTGAGCCCATCGTTCAGTAACAATATGACTCAGTACTGCAAGACCTTTCAAAGCCTATTTCCAGTTGGTGAAGGAGGGTTTCGATGATCACTGGACCTTCATGCCCTACCATTTGGAGACTGCATCTTTTAAAATGACACCAAGGGAAATCTGCCCATGAGCAGCATTGGATGGGACCATACCAGGTGACTTAAAATTAAGGATAACCAAGGAACAAAGTCTTTCTTAGAAGCAGACATCATCACATGGTAGACAGCTTTTTTAAGAAAATGGGACAAAACTCCATTTGATCTCCTTCCATTGACTGAGACTTGGTTTTGTTTTGTATTAACACAAAGTGATCAAGCCTACATTTTATTTTGTTACGTACTTTCACCAGTCAAAGCAAACACTTTCTAAGTTCTCCTATTCAAAATTTAGCCATTCTCACTAACCAAAGCAATTACTGGCTATGGAGTCATTTAGATGAATGGGAAGGATCACAACTAATAGTAGAACCTGCTCTCACACACGGTTGGTTAATATTGATAATTAAATGACTTGGCACTGAGCAGAAGCTATAGATGCAAATGGGTGGCCTATGACTATTGTTGATTTCATTACTTGTAACTTATCTCCATGCATAGGAAACATTAGTGTAACCGGGTCTAATCTAGGTAGTGTCCCAGACTCCCCCTAGAATCGAACTCTTTCATTTGACACACATTATGAAGACTGAAATGCTATAAGTATTGACATAGACACAGAATCAGAACATGACCATGTTATCCTCTGCCATATAATCAGAGAACTTACTGAAACTAGACATTTGTTCATTGGAAACTCGAGGCAAATAGAATGCATCTATAGCTCTACTATATGAAATAAACAATAGTTTCATTTATTGGATGCATCCATACTCAGCACATATTTGGAGAAGACCCTATTCATTCTTCAATGGAGATGACATGCAAGGATTATTTAATAAAATTCATAAAAATATTTTTTCATCCCACCCCAGTTCAAACTGTCACCATGCAACCTGGTGTCAGTGGAAGGTAAGGCGCTTAAGGCAGAAATAATTAAATAAATCTTCATTGGAAGCTAAATGTGAGAATCAATGTGGAAGACACAGACCAACAAAGTGGGTGTGTTCCAAAGTCTGTTACAAGTTGGAATGCTTTTGTGAGAAAAGTTAAAAGAAGGGAATGAGACTCCTCCTATCAGTTTTTTTTTTTAAATTTTCTTTTGTTTTACTGACCTGGCAAGGCTCAAATAGAGTTGAGTTTTTGTTTTGTTTTTGTTTTTTCCATTGGAAGGTACAATACAGAGGTTACAATCATTGACTTTAGCTGACAACATAACAAGTTAAACATTTTCCTTGCAAGACAACCAGTGAAACTTCATGATCAGAATCAAATCAGTGTCCTTCTCACTGTAAGTGGGTGAAGCTTCATCAATAATTGCAGAGTTTGAGGCACTCATGAACTCAAGATCAGATTCTTTACTCAGGGACAGAATGTAAGCCAATCATAAGACCTTCCACAGGTGGTTAATTTGGACTCCTGAAAAATGTGACCTGTAAGTTTTCACTGGCAATATGCAGGTGCACATATGACAAATAATAACCAGGACCTTTATATCACCCCCAACTGGTGGGGAATGGGATCCTTTTGACCCTTTCTCTCCATAATACCAGGCTACTCATCTTGTGTGGCAATAAAATATATGGTCTACTTCACAGAGAAAGAGATTCTTTTAAAAAAAAAAAGGATTTTTATTATGAAATGAGCAAAGCAATGGGAATAGATGTGAGATTATTCAGGGAGGTAAAGGAAGACAAAGGTTTTGAAAGGAAAAATCAGGAGAATTACATACACTGTTTTGGAAGACTCATTCTTGGTCACAAGTATCAACACCAAGGGGGCCTCAGTGCAATGTTGGAAAGATTCCTCCTCCACGCCCTCAATAACCCCCAACATGTTTACCAAGTCTTGGTTCACTCCCCGGATCCCATTAAAACACACAGCTCAACCCTGACCAGCCTCCACCTTCACTTCCCTTTGTAATTTTGACATGACTTTTTTTACAGGACCATCAGGTTCCTATGCCTGCAGCACAGTAGCATACTAATATTCTGAGACAGCAGGGTTTGCAGCAGAGAGTTTAACGATCACAGGGTGGCAAAATGAAAAGCTGGGAGGAGACCCTCAAATTCATCTCCCCAAGAAGTACTGAGAGTTTTCAGAGGATCATGGATAGCAAGAGGCTGGAAAGTTGGTGCAGTTTGGTGGCAGTAAGAGGTATGAAGTCATCAGGATGTCAAAACTGCATTCCTTGGTGAGTTGGTGCCTTGCAGGGCCCTTCAGATCACCTGCCATCAGTAGCTTCACTGACATGCAGAACCTGAAAGAATATGTCAAATGAAAAAGTTAATGTTTTACAAGGCCTAAATTGTTGTCTGCAGGGCAGTTAAGGGCAACTGTAATCTAAGGTCTACATGATTTTGGGACAGCAGGCTGCCAGCAACCATGAGGAAGCAGGTCAGAGAGCAAGCTGACCTCATGATGAATGCTGAATGCACTGCAAGCTTGGTTTATGTCTGTTTCTCCCCCTCCCTTCTTCACTGATTAAATTTATAAAGTTTATAAGTATGGTTGCAATTTCTTCCAGAGTAGCCTTAACCTAAGCCCTGAGACCACTCAGGTCCTCAGTGGCACCTCTCTTCCACCAGCAGGAGTGAAAAAATTGCTACCTTAGGTGATATAAAACCCACAAGACCATTCAATACATGGAGATTTTTATTTTGATTTTGTAGGGACGACTCCTCTGTTTTTATAAAGCTATTTTAACTATAAAACATTTTTGTGATTTTGATGTGGCCAAAGATCTCCCAACAATACTACTTTCAGATTTTAGTTTTCTGTCTAATATCTGGGAAAGATTAGACCCTTCCCTGCTTCAGACTCAGGACTATGCAGGTCACATATTAGTGAAATTCCATCAGTGTTTGTGAAGTTCATGAATGAATGAATTTTTTTTTTCCGACAAATTCTCCCTCTGTCACCCAGAGTGGAGTGCAATGGTGCAATCTTGGTTCACTGCAACCATTGCCTCTTGGGTTCAAGCGATTCTCCCACCTCAGCCTCCTGAGTAGCTGGATTACAGGCATGTGCCATCGTCCCTGTCTAATTCTTGTATTTTTGTAGAGACGGGGTTTCACCTTGTTGGCCTGGCTCGTCTTGAATGTCTGAACTCAGGTGACCCACCCAACTTGTCCTCCCAAAGTGCTGGGATTACAGGAGTGAGCCACCTTGCCCGGTCTTGAATGAATGCATTCTTGATTCCCACCCTATCCCTAACACTGTCAATTTCTTGATTCATGAACTTAATATGGATATCTGATATGAATGGATATCTGATTCAATCCATTAATCTGGGGAGAGCCAAAACCCCAATCAGGATTAACTGGGTGGAGCTTCAGAAATGCAATCAGATATCACTTGTTGATTGGAAGCTAGCAGTGGATACGTGGAGGGGTGTGGGTGGGAGTTGTGATTAGAAAGGTCAATAAAAGCTTCTAAAGACCCACAGAAGAGACCCAAAGTCTTCAAGCCTGGAGTTCCTGCTTAGTTCTTCCTGAGGTCTGAGCACCCTCCAAACTGAGTCCAGATCTGGTAAGTCACTAATCTCTCTGTAAGGACACTCCCAACTGACCTACAGTCAGCTGGTCTGGGATGGTGACAGTGCAGCCTAAGATGGCATAGAGTTATATCCTGTTTTGTTTTTTTTCTCATATGAACAATTTGAAGCTTTGCATTTTTTCCTCTAAATGCAGTTTTGTCTTTATTTCAAAAAATTGGATTGTGCTTTGGTTTATGTCATTTCAAAATTCTTGAAGGGAGCAGTGACTCATGCCTTTAACCCCAACACTTTGGGAGACCAAGGCGGGAGGATCATTTCAGCCCAGGGGTCTGAGACCAACCTGGACAACACGGCAAAAACCCATCTCTATAAAATATTCTTTATTGAAGGGGGGATGGAGTCTCGCTCTGTTTCCAAGGCTGGAGTGCAGTGGCACGATCTCAAATCATTGCAACTTCTGCCTCCCAGGCTCAAGCAATTCTCATGCCTCAGCCTCCTGAGTATCTGGTATTACATCCAACTGCCAACTTGCCTGGCTAATTTTTGTATTTTTAGTAGAGGTGGGGTTTCACCATGCTGGCCAAGTTGGTCTCAAACTCCTGACCTCAAGTGATCCACCTGCCTTGGCCTCCCAAAGTGCTGGAATTACAGCCATGAGCCACTGGTGCTTGGCCTCTACAAAATATACATATTTTTTAATTAGCCGGGCATGGTAGCATGCATCTGTCTTCCCAACTGTATGGGTTGCTGACATGGGAGAAACAATTGAGCCCAGAAGATTGAGGCTGCAGTGAGCCATGCTCATACCACTGCTGTACTCCAGCCTGGGCAACATTGCGAGGCCCTATTACAGAAAAAAAATCTTAACCAAAGAGGATCTTTGACCTTAATTTTAAACCAATCACATCCTCATTGTAACTCTTCCACCCAAACGGAGACATGGGTGTGGAGGTGCATGCCTGTAATCCCAGCTACATGGAAGGCTGAAGCATAAGTATCACTTGAACCTGGGAGGCAGAGGTTACAGTGAGCTGAGATGGCACCACTGTACTCCAGCCTGGGTGATGAAGTGAGACTCAGCTACCCCGACACGAAAAAAATTAAATTATACCACCCAGGTGATCATTGGATTCATGAAGATTTCTACTGTGTTTTCTTAGGGACTGTCATGTCTATCTTTGTAAAACTGTTTTAACTCTGAAATATTTTGATAAATTTGATGTGGCCAAGGATCTCTCAACAAAGATACTTTCGAGTTTTTTTCTTTCTGTCTAATGTCAGGAAGAGATTCAACTCTTCCCTATCTCACACTCAGAACTACAAAGGTCACATATTACTAAAATTCCATGTTTGTGGAGTAAATCAGTGAATGAGTCCTGGACTTTCACCATATCCCTAAATATTTCACTTTCATGGATGAATATCTAATTTGATAGTTAATCTGGAAGAAAGACAAAAATCCAATCATGATTAACTGGATGGAGCTTAAGAAGTCTAATCCAATGTAGTTCTCTCTCTCTCTCTCTCTTTTTTGAATCTAGCCAATTTCCCAGGCTGGATTGTAGTGGTATAATCTCAGCTAACTGCAACCTATGCCTCCTGGGTTCAAGCGATCCTCCTGCTTCAGCCTCCCTAGTAGCTTGGACTATAGGCGCAGACCACTGCACCTGGCTAATTTTTGTAATTTTAGTAGAGGTAGTGTTTTACCATGTTGGCCAGGATGGTCTCAAACTCCTGACCTCAGATAATCCAATGCCTCTGCCTCCCAAAGTGCTGGGATTACAGGTGTGAGTCACTGCGCACAGCCAAAGTGGTTCATTTTGAACATGCGTAAGAGGTGTGTATTGGAAACACCTGTGTCTTGCGAATGATGCATAACACTGTCACACAGCTTTCAAAGCTTCTTGGTGAAATTTTCAATAATGAGTCCCGGAAGAGGATTACGCCTGTAATCCCAGTACTTTGGGAGGCCAAGGCGGGTGGAATGTTTGAGTCTAGGAGTTCAAGACCAGCCTGGACAACATAGTGAAACCCACTGTCTTTACAAAAAGTCAAAAAATAAAAGATTAGCTGGGCATGAGATCCGAGCTTCAGAGATCCTCGGTAACATTTCCCAGTGCTATGAGTTTATTGCAACAGTGGCTAATAATTCATGGACTAGGAAGGATCTTGCCTGCTCTTTAGAGGTTGGGACACACTCTTCTTGGTACCAGAAGGGCAGAACCATGCCTCTGTAGCCACTTATTGCAGAACGGAATTGGAGTAAACTGAGGGCTCTTTCACACGTGCTAGAGAAATGACTTTGGCCCTAGGAGAAGTGGGGCTTGCTGGGGAATGGCCCGAGAAACTTGCCTTTTCACTTGATTGTCCTCTAGAGTTTTCCCTCGGAGATTTGTCAGAATGAGCCTCCAGGCCCCATCCAGACTGCTGGAGCTGGCAGGGCAGAGCCTGCTGAGGAACCAGTTCTTGACCATCTTCACCCTGGATGAGCTGCCCAGGGAGGTCTTCCCTCTGATGTTCATGGAGGCCTTCAGCATGAGACGTTTTGAGGCCCTGAAGCTGATGGTGCAGGCCTGGCCCTTCCTCCGCCTCCCTCTGGGATCCCTGATGAAGACACCTCATCTGGAGACCTTGCAAGCTGTCCTGAGGGGACTTGATACACTGGTGGCCCAGAAGGTTCGCCCCAGGTGAGGTGACTCAGGTGGCTTTCGGGGAAGGGTCCAGGCATCCAGGGAAGGGACAGCTGGCTCAGGAGGAGTAGTGGGGTTGGGGAGCTAGGGTGGCTCAGAGGCTTCTGACGGTGCCCATGAGAGGCCTTGGCCATTGCCCAGATCCTCTGGAAAAGGTCTGCTCACCATACAGGGTCCACTGAGGAAACAGGAGCTTGCTTCCTCCCAGCAGAAAGTAAAGGTACTAGAAGTGGGTACCAGGCAGAATCCAAGAGGGAGCAGGATGGAGAAGAGACAGAAGGAGGAGCACTGAGGACAGGAGCAGCTGACTGATGTCCTGGATGTGGAGTGAAAGCTCAGGTCAGGGGTGGGTCCTTGCCTACATTCTGAGCTTTTCCCCTATGTTACTCATAGGAGGTGGAAACTTCAAGTGCTGGATTTGAGGGATGTTGATGAGAATTTCTGGACCATATGGTCTGGAGCCAGGGTCCTCTCCTGCTCCCCAGAGGCCATGAGTAAGAGGCAGACAGTGGAGGACTGTCCAAGGATGGGAGAGCGCCAGCCCTTGAAGGTGTTCATAGACCTCTGCCTAAAGGAAAGTACACTGGATGAATGCCTGAGCTACCTTTTTGGGTGGATCCACTACAGAAGAGGCCTAGTGCACCTGTGTTGTAGTAAGGTGCAGAATTACTCAATGCCCACTTCAAGTTTCAGAAATCTATTGGAAAGGATATACCCAGACAGTATCCAGGAGTTGGAAGTCTGGAAAAAGTGCTCTCTCAATAAAACGGGAAAGTTTGCCCCTTACCTGAGCCAGATGAGCAATCTTCGTGAACTCTTTTTAGCCTTCGGTTATGAGCGTGAGTTGTACGTGAGCGTCCAGTGGCCGTGCATTCCTGACTTGGACTCTCCATTCCTCTGCCTGTACTACCCCCAGATGCTTTATATAAAAAAGATCAGTAATATCAAAGAGCACCTGGAGCACCTGCTCAGGTAAGAAATGATGGTGAGCTTTCTCTGCAGACCATACCACAGACTTATGTTCTTTTTCACAGTAAATGTTAGTGGGCATCTACTGTGTGCCAGCCACCGGTGATGTCATAGGGAATGGGACGCTAGAATGTCAACTCATTATGCTCTTCAGTGCTCTATATCCTGAAATGGGTATCACAAGACCACTCAAATAAGGGCAGAGGGATGGCCTGGGGTAGATGCCACAGAGAGAGGTGTGTAGGGAGCCGGTTAGTTGAGGGTTCAGATCTAGTGAGGGTGCATTTGTGAACTCCTTGTGAGGAACAGTGTATAAAGTTAATATGATGAAAACACATTCTTCATACAGAGGATGGTATGAAAGAAGGGAAGGTGTGGCCGGTTGTGGTGTCTCATGCCTGTAATCCCAGCACTTCGGGAGGCCAAGGCAGGGAGATCATGAGGTCAGGAATTTGAGACCAGTCTGGCCAACACAGTGAATCCCCGTCTCTACTAAAAATACAAAAAAAAATGTCACCGGGCATGCAGACAGGCACCTGTAATCCCAGCTGCTTGGGAGACTGAGGCAAGGGAAGTGGAGGCTGCAGTGAGCTGAGTCGGTGCCACTACACTCCAGCCTAGGTTACAATGTGAGACTGTCTCAAAAAAAAAAAAAGAGAAAGTACATCAAACCTGTGCATTCCACAGTAGCAGCTCTGTCTTCAGCAGCTTAGCAAACTGCTCTAATTCCCTGTCTGTAAAACGTTGTTTTGAACTCCAGGAAAGATAATTGATATCAGAAGTGCATGCTTCTGGGATGGAGGGTGAGGGAGTAGGTGTGAGAGTGGTACCAATCACACAGGCAAGGGTGAAAGGACTGAGCCTAAAATGGAGTGGCCCCTGAATGATCTGAGTCTTCATCAGGCAGCACCTTGCATGCAGACCATCATCTGATGATGGGAACAAACTTGTGTTTGGGTAAAACAGGCTTCCCCATTGCAGTTACTATAACACCTGTGTGGTAGTAAGGTGCAGAATTACTCAATGCCCACTTCAAGTTTACCATTGAGATGATTTCCCACCCCCCTCCTCTAACTGGCACCATTGCCCATAACTAACTTCTTGCTCTCCCCAGGTACCTCAAGAACCCCTTGGGGGCCTTTATATTCAGTGATGCTTACCTAACTGATCGGGACATGGAGTGTCTGTCTCAGTACCCAAGCCTCAGTCAGCTAAAGGAGCTGCGTCTGATTCATATCCTAATGTGGACCACCAATCTTGAGCCCCTTGGAGTTCTGCTGGAGAAAGTTGCTGCTACTCTCAAGACCCTCGTCTTAAAGGACTGTCGGATCCAGGACCCCCAACTCAGGGTCCTCCTGCCTGCCCTGAGCCACTGTTCCCAGCTCACCACCTTCAACTTTCATGGAAATGAGACCTCCATGAATGCTCTGAAAGACCTGCTGCGTCACACACGTGGGCTGAGCAAGTTAGGCCTGGAGTTGTATCCTGCCCCTCTGGAGAGTCTTGACTACAAGGGTCATGTCAATTGGGAGATCCTCACCCCAATTCGGGCTGAGCTGATGCGTACACTCAGGGAAGTCAGGCAGCCCAAGAGGATCTTCTTTGGTCCCGTCCCTTGCCCTAACTGTGGCTCATGGCCATCTGAGAAAGTGGACTTCCATCTTTGCTCCTAGGGAAGGCCTGGTTCGTGGGATGGATAAGCTTTCTTCTGGACACTTGGGAACTAAAATATTGTACATGGGTGCATTTTTTAAAATTTTATTTTATTTTTTATATTTTTTATTTTATTTTATTTTTATTTTATTTTATTTTATTTTTTGAGACAGAGTCTCACTGTGTCCCTCAGGATGAAGTGCAGTGGCACAATCTCAGCTCACTGCAAGCACCACCTCCTGGGTTCAAGTGATTCTCCTGCCTCAGCCTCCCAAGTAGCTGGTGTTGTGGGTGTATGCCCCCACGCCCGGCTAATTTTTGTATTTTTAGTAGAGACAGGGCTTCACGATGTTGGCGAAGGCTGACCTCAAACTCCTGACCTCAAGTGATCTGACCACCTTGGCCTTCCACAGTGCCAGGTTTACAGGTGTGAGCAGCAGGGCCCGGTCAGCCGCTTCTTAAAGGAAGCACACAGCCACGTATTTGAGGCACGTGCTCACTGTGAGTGGAAAAACAAAGGTGACTCAGCCAGGGGCAGGACTGGGTAAAAATGCTGACTTGGCATCAATGAGGCCTTCAGGGACCTGTGTCCTAGACTTAGAAATGGAACCTGAAGTTCTAGAGTGATGCAGGACTTACCCCTGCAAGGATGGTTATTTAAAAATGTCAAAAATAAATGGAACCTGAATGGAAACTTTCTGGTGTCTTCCATGATTGATCAACCTGTTTTAGACATTTATACATCAGAAGTCTCTAGAAATCTGCCTCCTGGGTTCAAGCAATTCTCCTGCCTCAGCCTCCTGAGTAGCTGGAACTACAGGGACCCGCCACCATGCCTGGCTATTTTTTGTATTTTTTGTAGAAACGGGGGTTTCACCATGTTGACCAGGCTGGTCTTGAACTCCTGACTTCAGGCAAACCATCCACCTCAGCCTCCCAAAGTGCTCAGATTGTAGACATTAGTCACTGCACCTGGCCTGAAATTCTGATATAAGCATAAAATGTGTAATGTTCAAATCATGGTAACAGGAATAGCCACCATCTCAAGAATTTATCATTTCTTTGTGTTAGCAACATTCCAATTCCATTGTTTTAATTATGTAGAAATTTACTATGAACTATTGTCAACACGAGTTGCCCTATTGTGCTACTGAACCCTAGATCTTATTCCTGTCTGTGTTTTTGTTCCCATTAACCATCCCCTTCTTATTCTCTATTTCCCAGTACCCTTCCTAGCTTCTGATAACCGTCATTTTACTATTTTTAAGTTTCGTGTTTTTTAATTCCCAAATATGAGTGCAAACATCCATGTTTGTCTTTCTGTATCTGGCTTACTTCACTCAACATAACGCCCTCCAGTTCCATCCATGTTGTCGCAGATGACAGGATTTCCTTCATGTTTACAGCTCAATGATATTCTGTTGTGTATATTTACCACATTTTCTTGATCCATTCATCTGTTGATGGACACTTATGTTGATTCCAAATTTTGGCTATTGTGGATAGTGCTACAATAAATAGGAGAGTGCAAGCTGAGTGCAGTGGCTCATGCCTGTAATCCCAGAATTTTGGGAGGCTGAGGCAGGTGGATTACTTGAGGTCAGGAGTTCGAGACCAGCCTGACCAACATGGTAGTGTAGATATCTCCTGAATATATTTCTTTTTTTTTTTCTGGATATATATCCAGCAGTGGGATTTATGGTTTATGTGGTAATCCTATTTTTATTTTTTGGAGGAAACTCCATACTGCTTTCCTTAGTAGCTGTACGAATTTACATAACTACCAATGTTGTACCAGGGTTCTCATTTCTCCATATTCTTCATAGCATCCATTATTTTCTGTTGGTTTTTTATGGGGGAGATCCCCTTACTATTAAAACTCAAATCCAGTTTGGTGTAAACACAGAAACCCTGCTAGAGTTGCCTGCCACCCTTGAAACAGGCCATTGGAATGAAAATTGTCCACCTATGCACCAGGTCTCTATTGGACAGAATGCTTTTGTCCCAGAGGTTGTTCACAATAGAGGACATTTCTTCTTTGTTTTTCTTTACTTTTCTGCCTTTTTTTTTTTTTAGGGTAGAGTTTCACTATTGTTGCCCAGGCTGGAGTGCAATGGTGGGATCTCAGCTCACTGCAACCTCCACCTCCCGAGTTCAAGCGATTCTCTTGCCTCAGCCTCCCAAGTAGCTGGGATTACATTCATGCACCACCACAGCTGGCTAATTTTGTGTTTTTAGTAGAGACAGGGTTTCTCCATGTTGGTTAGGCTGGTCTCGAACTCCCAACCTCAGGTTATTCCCCCACCTCAGCCTCCCAAAGTGCTGGGATTATAGGCAGGAGCCACCACATCCAGCTAGAGGACATTTCTGATGTCTCCATATTGATGGAATTTAAAATAACTCTCTGGTAAATTGTTTTCTATAATAGCCTTAAATAAAAATGGAGAAGGTGAGATTAAGATCATTGCAGACTTAGGTACAGAATTGGTGGAAACCAGGGCTGCCATATCCAGTATACAGCCAATATATCAGCAAATCCCTTGGAGAAAGGAAAATATTTCTGAGGAGGGGTTTCACATGAAGTTCAGAAAATTCCTGTGTTTGAAGCAGTCCAAATGACATTTGGACCATTTTTAGGAAAGTATGGCTTTTTATTAAGTGACAACATGGGGATGAGATTTGCTTTCTCTGTTAAGTTGATGCGTAAAGCTTTCTTTGGAGGGAGAGAAAACCCTAGAGTTTCCTGACCTTCCTTAACCTGAACTGCTTGGTTCCCTAGAAGCAGAAATTGATCATATTAGAACCCAAACTCATACCAACCTTGACCTTCATGAAGTACTCAAGTGTTTCTGCTCTTCTTCCTCATGTGATGTAGAAAGTATTAAAAGTGATGAGTTTAGGCCAGGCACGGTGGTTCACGCCTGTAATCTCAGCACTTTCAGAGGCCGAGGTGGATACATCACCTGTGGTCAGGAGTTCCAGACCAGCCTGGGCAACATGGTGAAACTCTGTCTCTACTAAAAATACAAAAACTAGTTGTGTGTGGTGGCCTGTGCCTGTAATTCCAGCTAACTGGAAGACTGAGGCAGGAGAATCACTTGAACCGGGAGGCAGAGGTTGCAGTGAGCCGAGATCACACCATTGCACTCCAGCCTGGAAAACAAGAGTGAAACTCCATCTCAAAAAAAAATTAATAAATAAATACATTATAAATAAATAAATTAATTAATGCTTTAAAGAAAAAAGAAATAAACTTTGCCTACAAATTTCATATGCAATTGAATACCTCTTAAATTTTGATGTGAACCGACCAGGCATGGTGGCTGAGGCCTGTAATCCCAGCACTTTGGGAGGCCAAGGCAGACAGACCACGAAGTCAGGAGATTGAGACCATCCTAGTTAACATGGTGAAACCCCGTCTTTACTAAAAATACAAAAAATTAGCCAGGTGTAGTGGCATGCACCTGTAGTCCCGGCTATTTAGGAGGCTAAGGCAGGAAAATTGCTTGAACCGGGGAGGCAGAGGTCGAAGTGAGCTGAGATCGTGCCACTGCATTCCAGCCTGGTGACGGAGCGAGACTCCATCTCAAAAAATAAATGAATAAAATAAATAAATCAATAAAAATATTGTGACAGGAACCAACATTGCTCAACTTGTACACTAATGTCTTACAAAATCCTTTCCTTGTCACCTTCAAATCTCCATTTCAAATGCTACACTCTGCATAACTCTACCACTTTGTTGCCATTTTCTGATGATGGAGAAGACCATACATGTGTGTGTGTGGCATCAGAACTATTGACTCCTCCTATTGATGTTTAAGATATTCCATTACACAAACCTGGGTTCATACTTTTTGTTGATAGATCTTATGCCAAAAATGTAGGCAAAAAATGCCAAGCAGGAAATGCTATCACTTCTGAAGATGAATTCATAGAGATGGAAATTCTTTCAGAATTTATTTTTCCAGCTTTTTTCTTTGTTTGTTCGTTTGTGTTTGTTTGTTTTGAGACAGTCTCGCTCTGTCACCAAGTTGGAGTGCAGTGGTGAAATCTTGGCTGACTGCAACCGCCTCCTCCTGAGTTCAAGTGACTCTCATGCCTCAGTCTCTCGAGTAGCTAGGACAATGGGTGGGCGCCACCATGCCCAGCTAATTTTTGTATTTTTAGCAGAGACAGGGTTTCACCATGTTGGCTAGGATGGTCTCAATTTTTGGCATCGTGATCTACCTGCCTTGGCCTCCTGAAGTGCTGGGATTAGAGGTGTGAGCCACCACCGTGCCCGGCCATTTTTTTTTTTTTCCTTTTGAGATGGAGTCTCACTCTATTGCCTGGGCTGGGAAAGGAACTCCTCCTATCAATTATTTTTTTAAATTTTCTTTTGTTTTATTGACCTGACAAGGGTCAAATAGAGTTGAGTTTTTGTTTTTGTTTTTTCCATTGGAAGGTACAAACAGAGGTTACAATCATTGGCTTTAGATGACAAGATAAAAGAATAAAACATATTCCTTGCAAGACAACCAGCAGAACTTCATGATCAGCATCAAATCAGTGCCTTCTCACTGTCAGTGGGTGGAAGCCTTCATCAATACTTGTAGAGTTTGAAGCACTCATGAACTCACGATCAGACTCTTTACTCAGGGACAGGATGTAAGCCAAGCGAAAGACCTTCCACAGGTGGTGAATTTGGAAGCCTGCCCAATGTGACCTGCAAGTTTTCACTGGCAATATGCAGGTGCAGATATGACAAAGAATAACCATGACCTTTACATCACCCCCAGCTGTTGAGGAATGGGATCCTTTTGACCCTTTCTGTCCATAGAACCAGGTTATTCATCTTGTGTGGCAACAACATATATGGTGTACTTAACAGAAAAGAAGACTCTGTAAAAAAAAAAGTTTATTATGAAGTAAGCAAAGAAGTGGCAATAGATGCGAGATTATTTGGGGAGATAAAGGAAGTTGAAGGTTTTGAAAGGAAAAATAAGGAGGATTATACAAATTGTTTTGAAAGACTCATACTTGGTCATAAGGATTAAAACCAAAAGGGCATCAGTGCAATGTTAGATAGATTCCTCTTACACCCACTCAATAACCCCCAACATGTTCAGCAAGTCTTGCTTCACTCCCAGGTTCCCATTAAAAACCCAGCTCAACCCTGACCAGCTCCACCCTCACTTCCATTTGTAATTTTGACATGACTTTATTACAGGACCATCAGGTTCCTATGCCTGCTGCACAGTAGCTTAGCAATATTCTGAGACAGCAGGGTTTGCAGCAGAGAGTTTAATGATCACAAGGTGGCTGAATGAGAAGCTAGGAGGAGATCCTCAAATTCATCTCCCCAAGGAGTACTGAAGGTTTCCAGTGGATCCTGGATAGCAAGGGGCCGGAAAGTTGGGGTAGCGGTAAGAGGGAAGAAGTCAACAGGATGTAGAAACTGCATTCTTTGGTGAGTTGGTGCATTGCATGGCCCTTCAGATCAGCTGGCATCAGTAGTTTCACTGACATGCAGAACCTGAAAGAATATCTCAGATGAAAAAGTTAATGTTTTACAATGCTTGAATCGTTGTCTGCAGGGAAGTTAAGGGGAACTGTAATCTAAGGTCTATATGATTTTGGAACAGTAGGCTGCCAGCAACCATGAGGAACCAGGTCAGAGAGCAAGAAGACCTCCTGATGAATGCTGAATGTGTTGCAAGCTTGGTTTATTTTTCTTTCTCTCCCTCCCTTCTTCACTGATTAAATTTATAAAGTTTATCGATGTGGTTTCAATTTCTTCCAAAGAAGCCTTAACCTAAGCACTGAGACCACTCACGCCCTCAGTAGCACCTCTCCTCCACCAGAACGAGCATGTAATCTGCTACCTTAGGTTATATAAAATCCCAAAGACCATTCAATACATTGAGATTTTTATTCTGATATCGTAGGGATGACTCCTCTGTTTTTATAAAGCTTTTTAAAGTAGAAAGCATTTTTATATTTTGATGTGGCCAAAGATCTCCTAACAACACTACTTTCAGATTTTATTTTTCTGTCTAATGTTGGGAACAGATCAAATCCTTCCCTGCCTCACACTCAAGATTATGAAGTTCACATATTAATAAAATACCATCAGTGTTTGTGGAGTTCATGAATGAATGATTTTTTTATTTTTTGACAGAATCTCCCTCTGTCACCCAGACTGGAGTGCAGTGGCACAAATCTGGCTCACTGCAACCATTGCCTCCTGGGTTCAAGCAATTCTCCTGCCTCAGCCTCCCAAGTAGCTGGGTTTCAGGTGCCTGCCATCATGCCCAGCTAATTTTTGTATTTTTGTAGAGACGGGGTTTCACCTTTTTGACCTGACTGGTCTTGAACCCCTGACATCAGGTGATCTACTCACCTTCTCCTTCCAAAGTGCTGGAATTACAGGTATGAGCCACCTCGCCCACCCTTGAATGAATGTATTCTTGACTTCTACCCTATCCCTAACACTGTCAATTTCTTGCTTCACGAACTGAATACAGATATGTGATATGAATGGATATCTGACTCAATCCATTAATCTGGGGAAAGCCAAAAACCCAATCAGGATTAACTGGGTGGAGCTTCACAAATGCAATCAGATATTGCTTTTTGATTGGAAGCTAGCAGTGCATACGTGGAGGGGCGTGGGTGGGAGTTGTGATTAGAAAGGTCAGTAAAAGCTTCTAAGGACCCACAGGAGAGACCCAAAGTCTTCAAGCCTGGAGTTCCTGCTTGGTTCTTCCTGAGATCTGAGAACCTTCTAGACTACATCCAGATCTGGTAAGTCACTAATTTCTGTAAGGACACTCCCATCTGACCTACAGTCAGTCGGTCTGGGATGGTGACAGTGCAGCCTACGATGGCACAGAGCTATATCCTGTCCTTTTTTTTTTTTTTTTATATGAACAATTGGAAGCTTTGAATTTTTTCCTCTAAAGGCAGTTCTGTCTTTATTTCAAAAAAGTTGATTGTGCTTTGGTTGATGCCATTTTAAAATTCTTGAAGGGAGCAGTGACTCATGCCTTTAACCCCAACACTTCGGGAGGCCAAAGTGGGAGGATCATTTCAGCCCAGGGATTTGAGACCAACCTGGACAACATGACAAAAACCCTCCTCTGCACAACGTTTTTTTTTTGAGGGTGGGGATGGAGTCTCACTGTGTTGCCCAGACTGGAGTGCAGTGGCATGATCTCAACTCCCTGCAACCTTTACTTCCCGGGTTCAAGCAATTCTCATGCCTCAGTCTCCATCCTCAGAAGCTGGTGTCACAGACATCTGAAACCATGCCTGGCTAACTTTTGTATTTTTAGTAGAGGTGGGGTTTCACCACGCTGGCCAGGTTGGTCTCGAACACCTGACCTCAAGTGATCCACCTGCCTTGGCCTCCCAAAGTGCTGGGATTACAGCTGTGAGTCACCATGCATCTGTAGTCCCAGCTATTTGGGTGGCTGGTGTGGGAGAATCACTTGAGCCCAGAAGATTGAGGCTGCAGTGAGCCATGCTCACACCACTACTGTACTCCAGCCTGGGCAAAAGAGAGACACTCTGTCCAAAAACAAAAACAAAATCAATCAAAAAGGATCTTTGACCTTAATTTTAAACCAATCACATCCTCTTCCACCCAAATGGAGGCATGGCTGTGGGGGGTGCATGCCTGTAGTCCCAGCTATGTGGAAGGCTGAAGCATGAGAATTGCTTGAATCTTGGAGGCGGAGGTAACAGTGAGCCATGATGGTGCCACTGCACTCCAGCCTGGGCGACGAAGTGAGACTCAGCTCCCTCAGCACCAAAAACAATTATATGACCCAGGTGATCATCGGATACATGAAGATTTCTATTGTGTTTTCTTAGGGACTGTCATCTCTGTCTTTGAAAACTGTTTTAACTCTGAAATATTTTGATAAATTTGATGTGGCCAAGGATCCCTCAACAAAGATACTTTCAAGTTTTCTTTCTTTCTGTCTAATATCAGGAAGAGATTCAACCCTTCCCTGTCTCACACTCAGGACTTTGAAGGACACATATTAGTAAAACTCCATGTTTGTGAAGGGAATCAGTGAATGAGTCCTGGACTTTCACCCTATCCCTAAATCTTTCATTTTGATGGATCAATATCTAATTCGATCAGTTAATCTTTAAGAAAGCCAAAAATCCAATAAGGATTAACTGGGTAGAGATTAAGAAGTCTAGTCAAATGTAGCTCTCTCTGTCTCTCTGTTCAATCTAGCCTATTTCCCAGGCTGGAGTGGAGTGGTATAATGTCAGCTCACTGCAACTTCTGCCTCCTGGGTTCAAGTGATCCTCCTACCTCAGCCTCCCTAGTAGCTTGGACTACAGGCGCAGACCACTGCACCTGGCTAATTTTTGCTGTCTTAGTAGAGTCAGGGTTTTACCATGTTGGCCAGGCTCGTCTTGAATTCCTGATCTCAGATGATCCACCTGCCTCGGCCTCACAAAATGCTCAGATTACAGGTGTGAGTCACTGCACCCAGCCAAAGTGGTTCAGTTTGAACATGTGTAACAAGTGTGCATTGGAAACATCTATCTTGAGAATGATGCATAACAGTGTCACATAGCTTTCAAAGCTTCTCACTGAAATTTTCAATAATGAGGCTGGGGTGGAGGCTCACACCTATAATCCCAGTATGTTGGGAGGCCAAGAGGGGTAGATTGCTTGAGACTAGGAGTTCAAGACCAGCTTGGACAACATAGCGAAATCCACTGTCTTTACAAAAAGTCAAAAAATAAAAGATGAGCTGGGTGTGGTGATGCATAACTGTGGTCCGAGCTACTTGGGAGGCTGAGGAGGAAGAATCCTTTGAGCTGGGAGGTCAAGGCTGCACTGAGCTGAGATCCCACCACTACACTCCAGGCTGGGTGACACAGCAAGACTCTGTCAGAAAGAGTGAGAGAGGGAGAGAGAGAAAGAGAGAGAGAATGAGAGAAGGGAGGCAGGGAAAGAAGACAAGAAAGAAAAAAGGGAGAGAGAGGGGGAAAGAAAGAAAGAAGGGAGGGAGAGAGGGAAAGAAGGAAAGAAGAAAGAGAGAGAAAGAGAAAGCAAGCTTAAATAATGAAAAGAAAACAAATAGAACCTGTTCTAGGGATGCCCCATGAATGTTCCCAACAAGCTTATTTGTAGGAACTGAAAATGTGGGCATGTAGGCTTGTGACATTCCCATTCCCATTGTTTTAGAACCTTGAGTAATTAGTAGTTTCCCCCAATGGTAGGAGGGGTTCACTTTCAGGTTCCTCCACACTCACTAGTCACTGGATGGAGCACTGGATAGAAAGGAAGGGCTCGTGGTGGCCCTGCTTCCTCACTGCTTCGGAGACGCTCATGCTGATGCAGCAGAGGCAGAATGCTGGCTTAATGGCCACTGAGTACAGAGTAGAATTGGAGTAAACTGAGGACTCTTTCACCATTGCCAGAGCAGTGAGTTTGGCCATAGGAGAGGATGAGATTGCATGGGCTTGGCCCGAGAGAGATGCCTTTTCTCTGGGTTTGTCCTCTGGAAGTTTTCCCTGCAGATTCATGAAGATGAGCATCTGGACTCCACCCAGACTCCTGGAGCTTGCAGGGCGGAGCCTGCTAAGGGACCAAGCTTTGGCCATGTCCACCCTGGAGGAGCTGCCCACAGAACTTTTCCCCCCACTGTTCATGGAGGCCTTCAGCAGGAGACGCTGTGAGGCCCTGAAGCTGATGGTGCAGTCCTGGCCCTTCCGCCGCCTCCCTCTGAGGCCTCTGATAAAGATGCCTTGTCTGGAGGCCTTCCAAGCTGTGCTCGATGGGCTGGATGCACTGCTTAACCTAGGGGTTCGTCCCAGGTGAGGTGGCCCAGGTGGGCTGGTGGGGAGGGCCCAGGTGTCCAACTGAAGGAACAGCTGGGTCGTGAGAAGTGAGGAGGCCCAAGGGGGATGGTGGTGGTGAGGAAGCCGAGAGGACTTGGCCATTCACCAGCTCCTCAGGGAAAGCACTGCTCACCACGCAAGGTCCATGGAGGTAACAGGAACCTCTCCTCTAATGGCACTGAAAGGCACCATGAAAAGTGAGAACTGGGCCGGGCACGGTGGCTCACAATGTATTCCCAGCACATTGGGAGGCTGAGGTCAAGAGTTGGAGGCCAGCCTGTCCAACATGGTAAACCCCAACTCTACTAAAAATACTAAAATTAGCTGGGCATGGTGGTGGGCTCCTGTAATCCCAGCTACTTGTGAGGTTGAGGCAGGAGAATCATTTGAATCTGGGAAGCAGAGGTTGCAGTGAGGTGACATCACACCACTGCACTCTAGCCTGGGCGACACAGGGAGACTTGGTCTCAAAAAAAAAACAAAACAATGTGGAAGTGGGCAGGATCCAAGGGGAAAACAGAGTGAAGAAAAGTCAGAGAGAGGGACAAGAAGCAGGGAGGGGAGGAGCTGCTATCCAGGATGTGGAGTTTAAGTTCAGAAATGAGTTCTGAAATTCTCAGTCTCACCTCTATTTTCCCACAGGAGGTGGAAACTTCAAGTGCTGGATTTACAGGATGTCTGTGAGAACTTCTGGATGGTTTGGTCTGAAGCTATGGCCCATGGGTGCTTCCTCAATGCCAAGAGGAACAAAAAACCAGTGGAGGACTGTCCAAGGATGAAAGGACGGCAGCCCTTGACTGTGTTCGTAGAACTTTGGCTCAAGAACAGGACTCTGGATGAATACCTCACCTGCCTCCTTCTATGGGTCAAGCAGAGGAAAGATTTACTACACCTGTGCTGTAAGAAGCTGAAAATTTTGGGAATGCCCTTCCGCAATATCAGAAGCATCCTGAAAATGGTGAACCTAGACTGTATCCAGGAGGTGGAAGTGAATTGCAAGTGGGTACTGCCCATCCTGACACAGTTTACCCCATACCTGGGCCACATGAGGAATCTTCAGAAACTCATTCTCTCCCACATGGATGTCTCTCGCTACGTTTCCCCAGAGCAGAAGAAGGAGATTGTTACCCAGTTCACCACTCAGTTCCTCAAGCTGCGCTGCCTCCAAAAGCTTTATATGAACTCTGTTTCTTTCCTCGAAGGCCACCTGGACCAGCTGCTCAGGTGAGGGAGGGTGGTGAGCTTTCTCTGCAGACCACAGCAGAGCCTGTTACAGTAAACACTAGTGGGCATCTACTGTGAGCCAGCCTATGAGGATGAAACAGTGAAGGGGACACTAGAATGTCCATGCATTGTCCTGTGGGCGGCCCTGTCCTGAAATGGGTATCATGCAACCCTCCCAATAGAGGCAGAGGGATCAGCTAGGGGAGATGCTATGGAGAGGCTGCCATGCTAGGAAGTCAGCTACTGGGGGGTTCAGATCTAGTGAGGGTGCCTTTCTGAATTCTTCCTGAGGACGTGTGTCTAAGTTAAGATGATGAAAAATACGCCAGGGGCGGTGGCTCATGCCTGTAATCCTATCACTTTGGGAGTCTGAGGCAAGAGGATAGCTTGAGCCTAGGAGTTTAAGACCAGTCTGGCTAACATACCAAGACCCCTGTCAGAAATGAATAAACAAAAGTAAAAACAAACAAGATAACTTTTTTTTTCTGAGATGGAGTTTCTCTTTGATCGTCTAGGCTACAGTGCAGTTGTGACATCTCAGCTCGCAGCAACTTCTGCCTCCCAGGTTCATGCGATTCTCCTGCCTCAGCCTCCTGAGTGCCTGGGATTACAGGCGTGAGCCACCACACCTGGCTAATTTTTATATTTTAAGTAGAGACAGGGTTTCACCATGTTGGCCAGGTTATTCTCCAACTCCTGACTTCAGGTGATCCACCCACCATGGACTCCCAAAGTGCTGGGATTATAGGCGAGAGCTACCACGCCCAGCCAACAAGATAATTTTTAAGAAGATGATGTGAAGTAGGGAAGTGAAGTGGGCACTGAAGAGGGGAATGTTCAGCAAACCTGCACTTGTCAGAAAATCAGCTTTGTGCCCCACAGTTTGGTGAACATGAATGATCCCATCTCTAATTCCCTGTTGTAAAAGTTTCTTTTGAGCTCCAGGTAAATTAATTATCTAGGCAATGCATGATTCTGAAACAGAGGGTCAGGGTGCAGGCACAAAGAATGGTGAAAGTGATAGATGGTTTGCTGATGATACAGGCATGTCAGGGACGCCTGCAGCCCGCCCACCGTAGCTGATGTTGCAGGATCCTGTCTGGGTTTGTCCTTTATGCCTGAATCTCCACTGGGCTCCTGTGGCCCAGGGATGTGGTTTTCTGCCTGACAGATGAGGAAAGGGAGCTTTAGGGATTCTGTGAACTTGATCCATTCCTATAAATGATGGTGAAGTGACTCAGCCTCAAATGGAATTATTTTTTCTCCTTTTTTTTTTTTAATACAGAGTCTCTCTCTGTCACCCAGGCTGGAGTGTAGTGGCATGATCTCTGCTCACTGCAACCTACACCTCCTGGGTTCAAGCGATTCTTCTGCCTCAGCTTCCCAAGTAGCTGGAATTGCAGGCTCCCCCCACCACACCTGGCTAATTTTTGGATTTTTAGTAGAGAGGAGGTTTTGCCATGTTCAGCAGGCTGGTCTCAAACTCCTGATCTCAAGGAATCCACCAGTCTCAGCCTCCCAAAGTGCTGGGATTACAGGTGTGAGTTACTGGGCCGGGTCTAAAGTGGAATTGACCTCGGTGGCAAAGCTCTTCATCACACATCATCCTAAGTGTTGACCATCAGGCCATCAGAATGACCCTGGACTTGGGCAAAAAGGTCTCCATCCATTACCTTGAAGCCATTCCCCACCACCCTCCACTCACCCCTATGATTCCCCAGAATTAACTTCTTGCTCTCTCTCCCCAGCTGTCTGAAGACCTCGTTAAAGTTCCTCACAATAACTAACTGTGTGCTTTTGGAATCAGACTTGAAGCATCTATCCCAGTGCCCGAGTATCAGTCAACTAAAGACCCTGGACCTGAGTGGCATCAGACTGACCAATTACAGTCTTGTGCCTCTCCAAATTCTCCTAGAAAAAGTTGCAGCCACCCTTGAGTACCTGGATTTAGATGACTGTGGCATCATAGACTCCCAAGTCAACGCCATCTTGCCTGCCCTGAGCCGCTGCTTTGAGCTCAACACCTTCAGCTTCTGTGGAAATCCCATCTGCATGGCCACCCTGGAGAACCTGCTGAGCCACACAATCATACTCAAAAACTTATGCGTGGAGCTGTATCCTGCCCCCCGGGAGAGTTATGGTGCTGATGGTACTCTCTGCTGGAGCAGATTTGCTCAAATTAGGGCTGAGCTGATGAACAGAGTGAGGGACTTAAGGCACCCCAAGAGGATCTTGTTCTGTACTGACTACTGCCCTGACTGTGGCAACAGGTCATTTTATGACCTGGAGGCAGATCAATACTGCTGTTGAATGCCTGCCTATTTGGATGGGTATGTCAAACGCTTTCTTCTGGACACTTGGAAACTAAAACCTAGGTCTTAGGTACATCCTAAAGGGAGCACAGAACCCATCATTTCACACATAGGCTCTGAAAGTGGGAAAGGAAAGCTGATCAAGCAGGGGCCGGACTTGGGGGAAATGTTGCCATGGATTCGATGGGACTTTGGGGACCTGTGTCCTGTAGAGTCGAAAATGGGAATCTGAATGTCTAGAGTGGAATTCAGGCTTGAGAATACATGAGGGAGTTACTCTTGCATGGATGGTTGTAAAGAAACAATCAGAAATAAAGGAAAACTGAGCAGAATCTGTCTGGTGCCCTCTATTATTAAGTAACCTGTTTTCCAGTTTAAGCCTCAGGAATCTTCAGTTATTGATGGAAAAAACAAAAGGCACTGACTGAGTTGTCCAATCAATAAGATGCAGCCCAAGAAAATCAAGGCATTTAAATGAAATTTGGTTATTGTAATCAGTTTCCTCCCATTCTTTTATTGGAGACAGAGTTTCACTCTTGTTGCCCAGGCTGGAGTTTAGAGTGCAATGGTGCCATCTGAGCTGACTGCAACCTCCACCTGGGGTTTAAATGATTCTTCTGCCTCAGCCTCCCAAGTAGCTGGGATTACAAGCATGCACCACCATGCCCAGCTAATTTGTGTATGTTTAGTAGAGACAGGGTTTCCTCACTATGTTGGTCAGGCTGGTCTCAAACTCCTGACTTTGGGTGATTCATGCAAGTAGGCCTACCAAAGTGCTGGGGTTACAGGTGTGAGCCACTGTGTCAGGCTTTTTTGTTTGTTTGTTTTTTAAAGGTCTCCTGTCACTCAGGCTACAGTGCAGTGGCACAATCATACCTCACTGCAACCTCAATTTCCGGGGTTCAAGCGATCCACCCACCTCAGCCTCCTGAGTAGCTATGACTACAGCTGTGTGAGCCACCACACCTGGATACTTCTTTTTAGTAGAGACAAGGCCTCGCTGTCTTCCCCAGGCTGATCTGGAACTCCTGAGCTTGTGATTCTCCTGCCTTGGCCTCCCAAAATGCAGGGAGTATAGGCGTGGACCACCACGCTTGGCTTGGCCTCCTCCAGTTCTTCACTTCTTTAGATGTCTGTTAACTCCTTGTTAGTTTCTGTGGCTGTTCAGTGGGTTAATACACACTAGGTGGACACCAAAGGCCTGGAACATTGCTGGGCAAGAACAGTGAGCCAATCCACACGGAAAGCACCTTCTTCTCAGGGTCTTTCACCGCTATCCAGATGCTGAGACCCTGCCCACTCCCTGTGAGTCTCCACATGCTTCCAGAAGCCTTAGTTGGTGGATGTCAGCTTCACTGCACAAGGAGCCACTCTCTTCCCGCTGCCCTGGAAGGGGATGTCCATATTGTGTATTAGCTGGAGACTCTGGGCAGCATCAACCCTTGCTTGTTCTCCTGATGACCAGCAGCCCTTCTTGAATTAAACTGGTTGTAGCCAGTAAAGACAGCCACATTCCCTTTAAGTAAAATACTAAAACTATACAGGCATATAACACTTTTTAAATATTTCCATCTGACATTTTAAAAGTTACATCTTTTGGGGGAGCTAGGTCAGATTGATGAGAGATTTTCTCATAACACCTCCCCTCTCTCCCTATGAAGGAAGAGACTAGTGCAGCGTGTTCTGGAATCTGACAGCATCAAAGGGTGGATAACGATCAAGGGCCTGTGGGTGATGAGTGACCTTCCCTGTGCTGAGGAATTCTGCATAATGGGCACCCAAGTGAAGGATCCTGCTGTGTACTCAGGGGCTGGTGTTGCTGTCAGGGATGTTAGCCTAGAGCCTCAGCTTCCTGTAAAATGAGGATGATGATGTCCAACAGCTTATGGGACCTTGGTAGGATCCAATGAGATGGTTCATGTTTAGGGCTTGGCATGGGGTCTGGCATACAGTAAGATCAATACATCTTGTTCTTTTTTCTCTTCTCAGCAGAAGTCCCAGCACTTTTCATCTTTCAATCTCACCTCCTTTTCCTGATAATAGAGAGGCAACAAGAACTCAGGGCATGCAATGGGGCTCAACTTCTACTCTCTGCCACAATTTCATCATGATTGCCCCAAAGAGCAGAGCCCCAGGAGCCAGCAGGGGGCAGGGTGGGCATTTCTGGACTGGATTCATTCATAATAAGATCAAAATTTCCAATCCGTATGTCTCGGGTGCCATCTGCTGATAGATCCGACCAGATGGTATAATTGAGTGTTGCAAGGATTATATTTTATGGTGTTTTTAAAAATGTACTATTATGAGCCAGGTGCAGTGAGTCATACCTGTAATTCCAGCACTTTGGGAGGCTGAGGCAGGTGGATCACCTGAGGTTGGGAGTTTGAGACCAGCCTGAGCAACATGAAGAAAACCCTTCTCTACTTAAAATACAAAAAATTAGCCAGGCGTGGTGGCGCACGTCTGTAATTGCAGCTACTCGATAGGCTGAGGCGGGAGAATCATTTGAACCTGGAGGTGGAGGTTGCGGTGAGCTCAGACTGAGCCATTGCACTCCAGCCTGGGCAACCCTAGCAAAACTCCGTCTCAAAAAAAAAGATAAAATAAGATTTATTATTATGGCCGGGCATGGTGTCTCACACCTCTAATCCCAGCACTTTGGGAGGCCAAGGCAGCCTCAGGATTTTGAGACCAGCCTGGCCAACATGGTGAAACCCCATCTCTACTAAAAATACACAAAATTTGCTGGGAGTGGTGGCATTCGCCTGTAATCCCAGGTATTCAGGAGGCTGAGGCAGGACAATCACTTGAACCCGGGAGGTGAGGGTTGCAATGAGACGAGATGGCACCACTTCACTCCAGCCTGGGCGACAGAGCATGAAAAAAAATTTACTATAATGTGAATACTATTAGAGTATAAATATTTGTGTTGTAATTTATGTATATGAAAGATTAGAACTTTTAAAGAATGCAACGTGATATTTCAAGAATGGTTAATGGCCAGGTGTGGTGGTTCATGCCTGTATTCCTGGCACTTTGGGAGGCCGAGGTGGGCAGATCACGAGGTCAGGAGTTCCAGACCAGCCTGGCCAACATGATGAAACCCCGTCTCTACGAAAAATACAAAAAATTAGCCTGGCGTGGTGACAGGTGCCTGTAATCCCAGATAGTCAGGAGGCTGAGGCAAGAGAATCGCTTGAACCTGCGAGGCAAAGGTTGCAGTGAGCCAAGAATGCACCACTGCACTCCAGCCTGGGTGAAAGAGGAAGACTCCGTCTCAAGGAGGGTGAGAAAAAGAATACTTAACTTGGTTTGAAATGTCAAAACAAATGAGATTTTAAAAACTAATTTTAAAGACACTGAACAATAATCATTTCTTCTTTAAAATATATTTAGAATAATACAATTTTAGCTTTGAAAGGAAACATTACAGTTTTAAAAAATATTGAGTTTATTTTATTTTATTTTATTTTATTTTATTTGGAGACAAAGTCTCACTCTGTTGTCCAGATTGGAGTGCAGTGGCATGATCACGGCTTACTGCAGCCTTGACCTCCTAGGCTCAGGTGATCTCCCTGCCTCAGTCCCCCTAGTAGCTGGAACAACAGGCATGCACCATCATGCCTGACTTATTTTTGTATTCTTAGTGAAGACCAGGCTTCACCATGTTGCCCAGACTGGTCTTGAAATTCTGGGCTCAAGCGATCCACCTGCCTCGGCCTCCTAAATTGCTGGGAGTGAGTTCCTATAGGCATGAGCCACCGCACCCAGCCTTGAGTTTATTTATTTATTTATTTTGGAGATGGAGTCTCCTTCTGTCATCCGTGCTGGAGTGCAGAGGTACGATCTCTGTTCACTGCAACTTCTGCCTCCAGGATTCCAGCAATGCTCCTGTCTCAGCCTCCAGAGTAGCTGGGATTACAGGCATGCAACACCACACCTGATTAATTTTTGTATTATTATTATTATCAGTTTTTAGTAGAGACAGGGTTTTGTCATTTTAGCTAGGCTGGTCTGGAACCCCTGATCTCAGGTGATCCACCTGCCTCGGCTTCCCAAAATGCTATGACTATAGACGTGAGCCACCACACCCAGCCTATTTTTTCCTTTACAGCAGTTTTAGATTCACAGAAAAACTAAGCAGAAACTGCAGAGTTCTCATCTACCTTCTTCCCCCTTCAATACACAGCACCCCCACAGGATCAGCACCCACACCAGCACAGAGCATTCATCACAACCAATGAGCCACAGGGACACATCATTATCACCCAATGTCCATAGTTCACATGAGGGATCATTGCTGGTTTTGTACATTCTATGGATTTTAACAAAGGGATAATGACATGTATCCACCATTAGAGCATCATGGAGAGTAGTTTTCTTTCCCTAAAATTCCTCTGTCCTCTTCCCATTCATCCCATTGTGCTCCCAACCCCTTGCATCCACTGGGCTTTCTACTGTCTCCTTAGAAAAATGCAAAAGCTTTTTCTGGAATGTCTAACAGGATGAGTCTTTTCAGATTGCCTTCTTTCACTTGTACAATAACGTGCATTTAGGAATTTTTCATGTCTTTTTACAGCTTTATAATAGTTCACTGACTGGATGGATCAGTTTGCTTATCCAGTCACTGACCGAAGGGCAACTTGCTAGCTTCCAAGTTTTGGCGATTATGAGTAAGTTGCTGTAAACATCCAGGTGTGGGTTTACTCACTTCATTAAATATCCAGGAGCATGATTACGGAATTGTAGGGGTATGGTATGTTTTACAATGATTTCTTCTTTCTTGACAATCTCACTTGTTCGATATTGCTGCTAAAGGTCAGGAACTTTGTCTCCATCATCCTGTGTTCCCACTGCTGAGCATGGAACGTGGCACTTGGTAGCAAATGCTGTTGACCACGTGATGCATGGAAACGTTTATCATGGGTATAGTCACTAAATTGCTACCTTGGGGACATCAACATTAGCTCACTACCAATAATATAAATAAATTGGATTATGGAAAAAAATGGCCCTTGTGATACTGTGGATACTCCAGGTGTATCATGAACGTCCAGCAATTGACCAGGCACAGTGGCTCACATCTGTAATCCCAGCACTTGCAGAGACTGAGGTGGGTGGATCACTTCAGTCAGGAGTTCAAGACGACTCTGGCCAATATGATGAAACCCTGTCTCTATTAAAGACACAAAAATTAACTAGGGGGTTGAGCCAAGATGGCCGAATAGGAACAGCTCCAGTCTACAGCTCCCAGCCTGAGCGGTGCAGAAGACGGGTGATTTCTGCATTTCCAACTGAGGTACCAGGTTCTTCTCACTGGGGAGTGTCAGAAAGTGGGTGTAAGACAGTGGGTGCAGTGCACCGAGCATGAGCCAAAGCAGCGTGAGGCATTGCCTCTCCTGGGAAGTGCAAGGAGTCAGGGAATTCCCTTTCCTAGTCAAAGAAAGGGGTGACAGATGGCACCTGTAAAATCCGGTCACTCCCACCCTAATACTGCACTTTTCCAACAGTCTTAGCAAATGGCACACCAGGAGATTATATCTCGTGTCTGGCTCAAAAGGTCCTATGCCCACGGAGCCTCACTCATTGCTAGCACAGCAGTCTGAGATCAAACTGCAAGGCGGCAGCAAGGCTGGGGGAGGGGCGCCTGCCATTGTTGAGGCTTGAGTAGGTAAACAAAGCAGCCAGGAAGCTGGAACTGGGTGGAGCCCACTGCAGCTCAAGGAGGCCTGCCTGCCTCTGCAGACTCCATTTCTGGGGGCAGGGCATTGCCAAACAAAAGGCAGCAGAATCCTCTGTAGACTTAAATGTCCCTGTCTGACAGCTTTGAAGAGAGTAGTGGTTCTCCCAGCACGCAGCTGGAGATCTGAGAATGGACAGACTGACTCCTCAAGTGGGTCTGTGACCCCTAAGTAGCCTAACTGGGAGGCACCCACCAGCAGGGGCAGACTGACACCTCACATGGCCAGGTACTCCTCTGAGACAAAACTTCCACAGGAATGATCGGGCAGCAACATTTGTTGTTCACCAATATCCACTGTTCTGCAGCCTCTGCTGCTGATACCCAGGCAAACAGCTTCTGGAGTGGACCTCCAGCAAACTCCAACAGACCTGCAGCTGAGGGTCCTGACTGTTAGAAGGAAAACTAACAAACAGAAAGGACATCCACACCAAAACCCAGTCTGTACATCAGCATCATCAAAGACCAAAGGTAGATAAAACCACAAAGATGGGGAAAAAGCAGAGCAGAAAAATGGGAAACTCTAAAAATCAGAGTTCCTCTCCTCCTCCAAAGGAACGCAGCTCCTCACCAGCAATGGAACAAAGCTAGAGGGAGAAGGACTTTGATGAGTTGAGAGATGAAGGCTTCAGATGATCAAACTACTCTGAGCTAAAAGAGGAAGTTCGAACCCATGGCAAAGAAGTCAAAAACATTGAAAAAAAATTAGATGAATGGCTAACTAAAATAACCAATGCAGAGAAGTCCTTGAAGGACCTGATGGAGCTGAAAACCATGGCACAAGAACCACGTGACAAATGTACAAGCCTCAGTAGCTGATTCCATCAACTGGAAGAAAGGGTATCAGTGAAGGAAGATCAAACGAATGAAATGAAGCGAGAAGAGAAGTTCAGAGATAAAAGAATAAGAGGAAATGAACAAAGCCTCCAAGAAATATGGGACTATGTGAAAAGACCAAGTCTATGTCTGACAGGTGTACCTGAAAGTGATGGGGAGAATGGAACCAAGCTGGAAAACACTCTTCAGGATATTATCCAGCAGAACTTCCCCAATCTAGCAAGGCAGGCAAACATTCAAATTCAGGAAATACACAGAATGCCACAAAGATACTCCTTGAGAAGAGCGACTCCAAGACACATAATTGTCAGATTCACCAAAGTTGAAATGAAGGAAAAAATGTTAAGGGCAACCAGAGAGAAAGGTCGGGTTACCCACAAAGGGAAGCCCATCAGACTGACAGCGGAGCTCTCGGCAGAAACTCTACAAGCTAGAAGAGAGTGGGGGCCTATATTCAACATTCTTAAGAAAAGAATTTTCGACCCAGAATTTCATATGCAACCAAACTAAGCTTCATAAGTGAAGGAGAAATAAATTCCTTTACAGACAAGCAAATGCTGAGAGATTTTGTCACCACCAGGCCTGCCCTAAAAGAGCTCCTGAAGGAAGCACTAAACATGGAAAGGAACAACTGGTACCAGCCACTTCAAAAACATGCCAAATTGGAAGGACCATCGATACTAGGAAGAAACTGCATCAACTAAAGAGCAAAATAACCAGCTAACATCATAATGACAGGATCAAATTCACACATAACAATATTAACCTTAAATGTAAATGGGCTAAATGCTCCAATTAAAAAACACAGACTGGCAAATTTCATAAAGAGTCAAGACCCATCAGTGTGCTGTATTCAGGAAACCCATCTCACATGCAGAGACACACATAGGCTCAAAATAAAGGGATGGAGGAAGATCTTCCAAGCAAATGGAAAACACAAAAAGGCAGGAGTTGCCATCCTAGTCTCGGATAAAACAGACTTTAAACCAACAAAGATCAAAAGAGACAAAGAAGGCCATTACATCATGGTAAAGGGATCCATTCAACAAGAAGAGCTAACTATCCTAAATATAGATGCACCCAATACAGGAGCACCCAGATTCATAAAGCAAGTCCTTAGAGACCTACAAAGAGACTTAGACTCCCACACAATAATAATGGGAGACTTCAACACCCCACTGTCAACATTAGACACATCAATGAGACAGAAAGTTAACAAGGATATACAGGAATTGAACTCAGCTCTGTGCCAAGCGGACCTAATAGACATCTACAGAACTCACAATCCAAAATCAACAGAATATACATTCTTCTCAGCACCACACTGCACTTATTCCAAAAATTGACCACATAGTTGGAAGTAAAGCACACCTCAGCAAATGTAAGAGAACAGAAATTATAACAAACTGTCTCTCAGACCACAGTGCAATCAAACTAGAACTCAGGATTAAGAAACTCACTCAGTGTGTGATGTTCCCTTTCCTGTGTCCATGTGTTCTCATTGTTCAATTCCCACCTATGAGCGAGAACATGCAGTGTTTGGTTTTTTGTGCTTGTGATAGTTTGCTGAGAATGATGGTTCCCAGCTTCATCTATGTCCCTACAAAGGACATGAACTCATCATTTTTTATGGCTGCATAGGATACCATTAGGAGGTATACCTAAGGCTAAATGACGAGTTAATGTGTGCAGCACACCAACATGGCACACGTATACATATGTAACAAACCTGCACGTTGTTCACATGTACCCTAAAACTTAAAGCATAATAATAATAATAAAAGAAACTCACTCAAAACCGCTCAACTACATGGAAATTGAACAACCTGCTCCTGAATGACTACTGGGTACATAACGAAATGAAGACAGAAATAAAGACATTCTTTGAAACCAATGAGAAAAAAGACACAACATACCAGAATCTCTGGGACACATTCAAAGCAGTGTGTAGAGGGAAATTTATAGCACTAAATGCCCACAAGAGAAAGCAGGAAAGATCTAAAATTGACAACCGAACATCACAATTAAAAGAACTAGAGAAGCAAGAGCAAACACATTCAAAAGCCAGCAGAAAGCAAGAAATAGCTAAGATCAGAGCAGACCCAAAGGAAATAGAGACACAAAAACCCCTTCAAAAAATCAATGAATCCGGTAGCTGGTTTTTTGAAAAGATCAACAAAATTGATAGACTGCTAGCAAGACTAATAAAGAAGAAAAGATAGAAGAATCAAATAGATGCAATAAAAAATGATAAAGGGCATATCACCACGGATCCCACAGAAAGACAAACTACCATCAGAGAATACTATAAACAACTCTATGCAAATAAACTAGAAAATCTAGAAGAAATGGATAAATTCCTCAACACATACACCCTCCCCAGAATAAACCAGGAAGAAGGTGAATCTCTGAATAGACCAATAACAGGCTCTGAAATTGAGGCAATAATTAATAGCTTACCAACCAAAAAAAGTCCAGGACCAGATGGATTCACAGTCGAATTCTATCAGAGGTACAAGGAGGAGCTGGTACCATTCCTTCTGAAACTATTCCACTTAATAGAAAAAGAGGGAATCCTCCCTAACTCATTTTATGAGGCCAGCATCATCCTGACACCAAAGCCTCGCAGAGACGCAACAAAAAAAGAGAATTTGAGACCAATATCCCTGATTAACATCAATGCAAAAATCCTCAATAAAATACTGGCAAACCGAATCCAGCAGCACATCAAAAAGTTTATCCTCCAATATCAAGTCGGCTTCATCCCTGATCCGCAAGGCTGGTTCCACTTACGCAAATCAATAAACGTAATCCATCACATAAACAGAACCAATGACAAAAACCACATGATTATTTCAATATGTGCAGAAAAGGCCTTTGATAAAATTCAACACCCTTTCAGGCTAAAAACTCTAGATAAACTAGGTATTGATGGAACGTATGTAAAAATAATAAGAGCCATTTATGACAAAACCACAACCAATATCATACTGAATGGGCAAAAGCTAGAAGCATTCCCTTTCAAAACCAGCACAATGCATGGATGCCCTCTCTCACCACTCCTATTCAACATAGTATTGGAAGTTCTGGCCAGGGCAATCAGGCAAGAGAAAGAAATAAAGAGTATTCAAATAGGAAGAGAGGAAGTCAAATTGTCTCTGTTTGCAGATGATATGATTGTATATTTAGAAAACCCCATCGTCTCAGCCCAAAATCTCCTAAAGCTGATAAGCAACTTCAACAAAGTCTCAGGATACAAAATCAATGTGCAAAAATCAAAATCATTCCTATACATCAACAATAGACAAACGGAGAGCCAATCATGAGTGAACTCCCATTCACAATTGCTAAAAGAAAATAAAATACATAGGAATACAACTTACAAGGGGTGTGAAGGACCTCTTCAAGGAGAACTACAAACCACTGCTTAAGGAAATAAGAGAGGACACTAACACATGGAAAAACATTCCATGCTCATGGGTCTGAAGAATCAATATCATGAAAATGGCCATACTGCCCAAAGTGATTTATAGATCCAATGCTATCCCCATCAAGCTGTAATGGAGTTTCTTCACAGAATTAGAAAAAACTACTTAAAACTTCATATGGAAGCAAAAAAGAACCTGTATACACAACACAATCCTAAGCAAAAAGAACAAAGCTGGAGGCATCACGCTACCTGACTTCAAACTATACGACAAGGCTACAGTAACCAGAACAACATGGTACAGTTATCAAAACAGATATGTAGACCAATGGAACAGAAAAGAGGACTCAGAAATAATGCCACACATCTACAACCATCTGATCCTTGACAAACCTGACAAAAACAGCCAATGGGGAAAGGATTCCCTATTTAATAAACGGTGTTGGGAAAACTGGCTAGCCATATGCAGAAAACTGAAACTGAACCCCTTCCTTTCACCTTATACAAAAATTAACTCAAGATGGATTAAAGACTTAAATGTAAGGCCTAAAGCCATTAAAAATCCTAGAAGAATACCTAGGTGATACCATTCAGGACATAGGCATGGGCAAAGACTTCATGGCTAAAACACTAAAACCAATGGCAACAAAAGCCAAAATTGACAAATGGGATCTAATTAAAATAAAGAGCTTTTGCACAGCAAAAGAAACTATCATCAGAGTCAACAGGCAACCTATAGAATGGGAAAATTTTTTGCAATCTATCCATCAGACAAATGGCTAATATCCAGAATCTACAAGGAACTTAAGCAAATTTACAAGAAAAAAACAAACAACCCTGTCAAAAAGTGGGTGAAGGATACTAACAGACAACTCTCCAAAAAAACCATTTATCCAGCCAACAAACATATGAAAAAATGTTCATCACCACTGGTCATTTGATTTGCATTTCTCTAATGCAAATCAAAACCACAGTGAGATACCATCTCATGCCAGTTAGAATGGTGATCATTAAAAAGTCAGGAAACAACAGATGCTGGAAAGGATGTGGAGAAATAGGAATGCTTTGACACTGTTGGTGGGAGTGTAAATTAGTTCAACCATTGTGGAAGACAGTGTGGCAATTCCTCAAGGATCTAGAACCAGAAATACCATTTGATCCAGCAATCCCATTACTGGGTATATATCCAAAGGATTATAAATCCTTCTACTATAAAGACACATGCACAAGTATGTTTATTGCAGCACTATTCACAACAGCAAAGACTTGGAACCAACCCAAATGCCCATCAATGATAGACTGGATAAAGCAAATGTGGCACATATACATCATGGAATACTATGCAGTCATAAAAAATAAGTTCATTTCCTTTGCAGGGACATGGATGAAGCTAGAAACCATCATTCTCAGCAAACTAACACAGGAACAGTAAACCAAAACACCACATAAGTGGGAGTTGAACAATGAGAACTCATGGTCACAGGTAGGGGAACATTACACATCAGGGCCTCTCGGGGTGTGGAGGGCTAGGAGAGGGGTAGCATTAGGGGAAATACCTAATGTAGATGACGGGTTGATGGGTGCAGCAAACCACCATGGCATGTGTATACGTATGTAACAAAACTGCACGTTCTGCACATGTATCCCAGAACTTAAAGTGGAAAGAAAGAAAGAAAGAAAGAAAGAAAGAAAGAAAGAAAGAAAGAAAGAAAGAAAGAAAGAAAGAAAGAAAGAAAGAAAGAAAGAAAGAAAGAGAGAAAGAAAGAAAGATGGAAGGAAGGAAGGAAGGAAGGAAAGAAAGAAAGAGAAAGTAAGAAAGAAAGAAAGAAAGAAAGAAAGAAAGAAAGAAAGAAAGAAAGAAAGAAGAAAGAAAGAGAGAAAGAAAGAAAGATGGAAGGAAGGAAGGAAGGAAAGAAAGAAAGAGAAAGTAAGAAAGAAAGAAAGAAAAAAGAAAGAAAGAAAGAAAGAAAGAAAGAAAGAAAGAAAGAAAGAAAGAAAGAAAGAAAGAAAGAAAGAAAGAAAAAGAAAGACAAGACAAGACAGTGGAGGGGAGGGGAGGGGAGAGGAGGTGAAGGGAAGGGAAGGGAAGGGAAGGGAGAAGAAAAGAAATACCCATAAAATAGGAAAGCTGGCTGGTCACAGGAGAAGCATGAAAATATCAAGCAGTGATTTCATATAGCAGCAAGAAAAGAGCCTGTAAAATTAGCTGCAAGAATAAGAATAAGCCTTGACCCATAAGATCCAAACAAGCTGGAAGGGGCTAAGCTGGCTAACACTGAATTGGTCAGACATGGCACTGGGTTTGACCCTTGCCCTACCCCAGGCCTAATTATACACCTATTATGACAGTAAGTCACACACCAGCGCCAGGACGGTTCTGAGAATGCCCATATTTAGTATAAAAATAGTTAACACCTAGCCACGTGCAGTGGCTCATGCCTGTAATCCCAACATTTTGGGAAACTGAGGCAGGCGGATAACCTGGTGTCGGGAGATTGAGACCACCCTGACCAACATGGAGAAATCTCGTCTCTCCTAAAAATACAAAATTAGCCGAGTGTGGTGGTGCATGTCTGTAACCCCAGCTACTCCAGAGGCTGAGGCAGGAGTATTGCTTGAACACGGGAGGCGGAGATTGCAGTGAGCCAAGATCGCGCCATTGCACTCCAGCCTGGGCAACAAGAGCGAAACTCCATCTCAAAACATAAATAAATAAATAAATAAATAAATAAATAAATAAATAAATGACACCTCAGTTCTAAGAAAACTTCACCATTTTTTCTTAAAATCCTAATGATTATTTCAACCTCTCCTTACAGATCCTATAAAATTAGAAACCCAAACTCTCTTGTACCTGACTCGCTCTCCTGAATAAGCCCTCTCTTGAGTGTGTTCCTTTGCTTTGCAATAGACACTTCTTGCCTTTTGCTTCATTCTGCCTACTTCCTAAACTCTTTCTTGCAGCGGTGACAAGAATGTGGACACTGGTTGGTGATTGAGTCTCTGGGCACCTGGAGACGACCTAAGCACTATGGCAATAGTCAGTCTAAAAATCACACAGGATATCACAATTCACTCTCTGGTTTTCTTGGGGGAAAAATCCAGTAACTTTGGCCCCATATCCCCAAGGGGCATCACTCAGCACAAACTGAGAAGCAGCAGTCCTACCGCTGGGTTGTAAGTATGTGGCTTTATTCCGGGGTTCTCTATTCCATTCCATTGGTCTATGTCTCGACCTTCATACTGGTACCACGCAGTTTTGCTTACTATTGCCTTACTGTATAAATTGAAGTCAGGTAATGTGATGCCTCCATATTTGTTCATTTTGCTTCGGATTGCTTTGGCTCTTCAGCCTCTTTTTCATCTCCATATGAATCTTAGGATTCTTTTTTTAATCTTGTGAAAATGGTGTTTGTATTTTGGTGTATGAAATTTTTAGACTGACGTTTTTAGATTGATGTTTGATGTTTGCAGGTTTTAGATTGCTTTGGGCAGTGTGGTGATTTTCACAACATTGTGTCTGTCAATCCATGAGCATGGGATATTTTTCTACTTTTTTGTTGTCTATGATTTTTTTCAGCAGTGTCTTGTAGTTCATCTCATAGAGATCCTTTACCTAATGGTTAAGTGTATTCCTAGGTTGTTTTTGTTATTGTCACTGTTTTTGTTGTTGTTTTGCAACTATTGTGAAGGGATGGAGTTCTTGAATTGATTCTCAGCTTGCTTGTTGTTGATATCAAACAGTGGTACTGATTTGTACATATTAATTTTGTACCTGAGATTTAAGTGAATTCACTTATCACATCTACGAGTCTTGGTGGAATCTTTCCGGTTTTCTAAGCACATATGATCACATCATTGGCAAACACAGGTAGTTTCACTTCCTTCTTTCCAATTTAATTATACTTTATTCCTTTTGCTTACCAGATTGCTCTGACAAACATTTTCAGTCCTATGTTGATTGCAAGTGGATAAAGTGAGCATTTTTGTCTGCTTGTAGTTCCTAGCAGGAATACTTTCAACGTTTCTTCATTCAATATGATGTTGCATGTGGATTTATTTTTGGCTTCTATTATTTTGATGTATGTTCTTTCTAGGCATAGTTTGTGTAAGCGTAGTCTATTATTTTACAAGCTCAGATTTGTATTCTGTTTTACCTGAGTGCATTGTGAGATTTGGCATCTATTTTACCTGATATAAGTACAGCTACTCTTGCTGTTTTTGGTTTCCAGTTGCATGGAATATCTTATTCTACCCCATCACTTTCCATCTACATGTATGCTTATAGGTGAATTGAGTTTCTGGAAAACAGCATATAGTAGGGTCGTATTTTTTTACTCATTCAAAGACCCTTTGCCTTTCACTTGCAGAATTCAGATAAATTATATTCATTGTTTTTATTGATAAAAGCTTAGTGCTCCCATTTCATTCCTTGTTTTTTGGTTGTTTAGAGACTTCTCTCTTCCATCCTTTTCTTATTGTCTTTCTTTGTGTTTAAGTAATTTTCTCTTCTGGAATACTTGGAATGTGACTCTTCCGGCCAGAAACCTCTGTGGCTGGGGGCACCTTTGCCAGAGTTTTGATGGGGTTCACTGGGTTCGTTCTGCCCATGCAGCCTGGTAGACTATGCTTGGCTCATGTTTCAGGCCTGGAGCACATGCCTATTAAGGGCGGGTCAGGGCTGGAGTGGTGAGGGGTGTGTGAGTGAGCAGGGGGTCTGGCCACTTTGGACGGTCACCGGCTGCTGCTGCTGCAGCAGTGGGATGGGCAGCTCCAGATGCCAGCATGTGTGCCAGATTTCTGCAAGGCTGCAAATGAATCAGGCACAGCACAAACAGCTTCCATGGTTGTCACTGGAATACACAGTGACACCAACACTGAAAGCTTGGAAATGCCAGGAACTGCAGAACCCCCAAAAGGGAGTCACAGCCCTGGCTCAGGAAGCTCCCACATCTGGGCTCCTGGAAGAGTAGTTGCTCTTCTCTTTTTCTCTTCACCTACAATTTGGTGAGCAAGGGGCATGTTTCAGCTTTATTTGTGTTATTGCTCTTTTACCCCACCATTAGGCGGGTCTCAAGTTTTTGTCCTGTGACCAGGAAGAGTGAAATATGCAGACAAGTGGAGGGTGAGTGAGATAAAGAAGAGCTTTATTGAGCAATAGAACAGCTTAGAGACCCACAGTGGGTAACTTCTTTCTGCAGCCAGGGCGTCCTGATGAGTGTTTAGCTCTGAGCAGAGAGGAGGCCCTGGGGTGGGTGACCCCTCCCTCCTGGCAGGTTATTCCATCATCACCACTGCTCTCAGTAGAGAGAAGGCCCTGGAGTGGGTTGCTGCTCTCTGCAGGAAAGTCATCTCATCATCTCTACAGCTCTCAGCAGAGAAAAGGACCCGGAGGGGGTTGCTTGTCTCTACAGGAAAATCATCCCAACAGTGGGTAGTTCCTCTCTGCCACTGGTCTTCCTAATGTTCTCCCTGAGTCTGGGGTTTTTTTGACATCAGACAGGAGAAAGTATGCACTCATTGGGTCATAGGTGGCCATGAGCAGGCACAGAAAAGGCAACACATGTTCCCACTCTGGTCCATAGGACTGGTGGCCCAGCCCACGGGCTTCAGACCCTCCTTGATCAGAAGGTGGAGCTTCACCAGTGACCCTCACCTTCCTGTCCAGGATTCTGTCTGCTTCCCACCACCAACCATGGAGCCCAGGTCACTTGTACCAAGGAGCATCCAAAGACCAGTGCTGATCAGTCCGCAACACCCCTCAGCCTCCCTCCTACACTCATCAAGGCCCAAAGTCCAGAGGGTTCAAGACAGCAGTGGGATGGTGCATCAGCACTGACCCGAGTGTGCACAGACCCACCTGGGCTGTGACAGCATCTGGGCTTGACCACAACCACACTCCAAAATTAGAGCAGGTGCCATGAGAGATGAGGCAGTGAGAGCGGACACCCCCAAGCTGCAGGAGAAGGGGGGATCTCCTGGACCCTCGAGAGTACTGGGGGACCTCATTTGGTAACTGTGACCTGGACAACTTCAGTTGCGTCTTTGGAGCTACTGCCCTGCCAACTCAGGAGGACCAGGACTCCCTCTTGTCCCAGGCTCCCATCAGCTCTGAAGTGTACGCAGCCTTGGCTGTGCCCTCTCTCTGTGTTTCCCTGCAGAAGTGACAGTTGAGAAGCAGGTACACAGCAGCTCTGGCCAACCCCACACAAACAAACCCAATGCTCCTGGGTGTGGTTTAACCAGCCCCAACTGCACTATCATCCAGGAGCTTGCAGGCTAACGGCAGGCAGTGAGCAGTGAAGTAGAGGCTGTGGTGGAGACTCCAGACCTGGGACAAGGTTCCATTTTGCAATGAGAGGGTGTGGGTGGCACAGTTGGCTGCCTCAGGGAAATGGAGCACAGGCCTGGCTCATGACCCTGTCAAGGGGGGTGCCTCCAGGAGTGGTTCATAGTTCCCAGGCCCAGCAATCGGGCTGGTCACTCCTATGGGGGGCGGATCTCGGAAACACAGCATGGGGTGGATCCGCATAGACCCTCCCTTCAAGACCTGGGAGCTTGACACTGTTAGCAGGATGGGCACAGTGGCCAGATAGCTGGCCAGGTCCTTGAAACAGGTGCCATTTCTGCTTCTCACCCTGGCCCCCTGATGGATGGCCCCAGCTATGCCTTCTGGGCCTGGCATCCGCACATCTTGTGCGAACGTGGCACCACCCCATTCCTATCTTCTCCTTGGGGCCCCTCTCTGCCCGTCCCTTCGCGCCTGACCGAGCTGCTCCCCTTGGGCAAAAAAGTAAGAAAAAAACTGATGACTGAAGAGAAGTAAAGAATGGGTGGAAATCATCTGTATGCCTGTTTTCCCAGCGCTTTGGGAGGCCAAGGTCAGTGGATCACTCAAAGCCAGGATCTTGAGACCAGGCTGATCAACATGGAAAAACCTCATCTCCATTAAAAATACAAAAATCAGCCAGTCTTGGTGAAACGTGCCTGCCGTCCCAGCTAATTGAGTGGTTGAGGCACAAGAATCACTTGAGCCCTGAAGGAAAGGATTGCAATGAGCCCAGATTGCACCACTGCACTCCAGCCTAAATGACAAACTGAGATTTTGTCTCCAAAACAAAACAAAGAACAAGAATGGGTGGGAAATACTTAAAATGATCAAATTTTATTTGGTTGCTTTGATGTTCTACAGCTGAAACTCAATCACAGACAAAGTAGTATTTCATTATTTTTCCATCAGTAACTCAATAACTAGATATTTCTGGTGGATAAATTGCTACAACACGTTAAAAGTTTTCATTCAGGTGCTCTTTATTTCTGATATTCCTTGGTAACCATCCTTGCAGGGATAACATTCTCATCACTGTAGAACTTTAGCTTCTCTTTCCGACTCTGTAGGACACGGGTCCCTGAAGTTCTCATTGATGTCACCTCAACATTTTCCTCCAGCCTTGCCCCCTGCTGTTATGTTTTCTCTCTCACACTGAGCACTTGCCTGTGCTTCCTTTAAGTTGCATGTGGCCTGGACACAGTCACTCATGCCAGTAATCCCAGCACTTTAGGAAGCTGAGGCAGGAGGATCCCAGAGCAACACAGAGAAACCCTGTCTCAAATTGTCTTTAATAAAAATTTTGGAATTATTAAAAAATGAAATAAATAAGAAAAGAGAAAAATAGTTTGCACCTACATAGTAGATTTTAGTGTCCAAGTGCCTGGAAGAGAACTTTGGATTTCTCTACCCCACTGGGCACGCCTTCCCTAGCAGCAAAGATGGAGCTCCAGTTCCTCAGACGGTGATGAGCCACAGGAAGGGCAGGGGGTGGGGCCAATGAAGATCCTCTTGGGCTGCCTGAATTCCCTCAGTGTACACATCAGCTCAGCCCGAAGTGGGGTGAAGATCTCCCAATTGACACGAACCAAGGAATTCAAACTCTCCTCAGGGGCAGGATACGTCTCCAGGCTTAACTTGCTCAGCCCACTGGTGTGGCGCAGCAGGTCCTTCAGGGCGTCAATAGACATGCAATTGCTGCCAAAGTAGAAGGTGGTGAGCTGGGAGCAGCAGCTCAGGCCAGGCAGGATGGCACTGAGTTGGGAGTAGTGGATCTGACAGCCCTCTAACACGAGGGTCTCGAGAGAGGCAGCAATTTTCTCTAGCAGAGCTCCTAGGGGTTCAAGACTGATGCGGAACAGCAGCACGTAGCTGAGATTCAGATGCTTTAGGTAACCGAGGCTTGGGAACTGGGAGAGACACTTCAAGTCCTCTTCTAATAGGTTGCCACAAGTTAATTCCAAGTTCTCCAAGGGGTTCTGGAGGCACCTGTGGAGATCAAGAAGTTAGTTCTGGGCAATGGTACCAGTTAGATGAAGGTAGTGGGGAATAACCTCAAGGAAAATACCTGCTTCAACCAAACACAAGTTTGTTCCCACCATCTGATGATGGTCCTCATGGAAGTTGCTGCATGATGAGGACCCTGATCGTTCAGGGGCTGTCCCATTTTAGCCTCAGCCCTTTCACCATTGCTTGTGTGATTGGGTCAAGGCCATAAAATCTCTAAAGCCTTTTTGTTTTTCATCTTTTAGCAGAAAACTTCATCTCTGGGCTACAGGTACCCCGTGGGAGATGTGAACAAAGAACTCAACTCAGCAAGGTCTAGGGACATCAGCTAGGGCTACATGTCGGCAGGGGCTCCCTGACATGCCTGCATCTGCAAACCAACTGTCACTTTTTACCACTCTCACGCCTACTCCCTCACCTCCATCCCGGAAGCACGCATTTCCCATGTCAATTACCTTTCCTGGAGTTCAAAACAACGTTTTGCAGACAGGGAATTAAAGACAGGATCATTCGTGATCACTAAGCCGGTGAGGACAGACGTTCTATTGTGAAATGGACAGGTTTGATGCGCTTTCCCTCCTTTCATACCCTCCTCTATTATCTCTTTGACATCATATCAACTTGAAACACACTTTGTAACAGGAAATTCACACGTGCACCCCCAATAGAGCTGAAACCCCCACTGACTAGCTTGTACATGATGTCCCTCTCTAGCTTCTACCCCAGGTGACCCCTCTGCCCTTATTGGAGCGATCCTGTGATAGCCACTCCAGGACATGGAACACTGAATGGGACAATGTGTTGACATTCTGGTGTTCCCTTCACTGTGACGTTGCCACTGGCTGGCACACAGTACACGCCTTCTAATGTTTGCTGTAACAGAACAAGTCTGTGCTGTGGTCTGCATACAAAGTGCACAATCCTTTCTCACCTGATCAGCTGTTCCAGGTGCCCACTGAAGAAGGTGATCAATTTTATTTTAAGCAACTGGAGGTGTTCCAGCCTGAGGAACACAGAGGTGAATCTGGTGACTAACCATCCCTCGAGTTCATTATCTGACGTGTAATGATGGCACCTGGAGAAAACGAGTTTGCAAAGAGTCTTCATCTCCTTCAGGTAACAATAAAGCTTTCTTATCAGATGTGGCCAGCACGTGTTGTGAATTTCCAGCTCCCCAATACTATTAATGTATATTATTTTCAATGACTTTCTGAGATATTTAATTGGCGTTAGATAATTGACCAGCTTACTACAGCACAGGTGTACTAAACCTCTCCTTTGGTAAACCCACTGGAAGAGGTATCTCAGGCATTCATCCTGGGGTATTTCCTTGAGGCAGATGTCTATGAACACCTTTAAGGGCTGGTGCTCTCCCGTCCTTGGACAGTCCTCTGCTGTCTGCCTCTTACTCATGGCCTCTGGGAAGCAGGACAGGGCCCAGGCTCCAGGCCATCTGGCCCAGAAATTCTCATCAACATCCCGCAAATCCAGCACTTGAAGTTTCCACCTCCTGTGGGTAAAGTAAGGGAGAGGCTCAGAATTTAGAGGGACTCATCCCTGACCTTTGCTTTCATTCTCATCCCATAAATCAGCTGCTCCTGTCCTCAGTGCTCCCTGTTCTCTTTGTCTTTTCTCAATCCCTTTTCCCTTTGGATTCTGAGTGGTCCCCACTTCTATTCCCTTTACCTTCCACTGAGTAAAGGCCGGCTTCTGTTCCCACAGTGGACCCTGTATGGTGAGCAGTCCTTTCTCTGAGGATCTGGACAATGGCCAAAGCCTCCCTGAGCTTCCTCGCCAACACCATCAGAAGACTCTGGGCCGCACTTGGGTTACTTCTCTGCCTGACCCTGCTGTTCTTTCCCTGGACACCTGAGCCCTATCTACTAGCCCTCCTGGGTCACCTCACCTGGGGCGATCCTTCTGTGTAAGCAGCATATGAAGCCCTTCCAGCAATGCTTTCAATGGCTCCAGATGAAGCGTCTTCATCAGCGATACCAGAGGGAGGCAGGTGAAAGGCCAGGCCTGCACCATCACCGTCAGAGTCTGGAAGTGTCTCCTGCTGAAGGCCTCCCTGAAGAGTGGGAGATAGAGCACCCTGGGCAGCTCCTCCATGGCAGAGATGGACAAGGCCTGGTCTCTCAGCAGGCTCTGCCCCGCCAGCTCCAGTAGTCTCGGTGGGGCCTGGATGCTCATCCTGATGGATCTGCAAGAAAAATCTCTAGAAGACAAATCCAGGGAGAATGTATCACTCTCAGGGCAAACACAATCACCTCATCTTCTCCTAGGACCAATATCATTGCTCTGGTAGAGGTAGAAAAATTACCACTTTACCCCAATTCCACTGTGCTTGTTGGCCTCAAATCTATACTTCTGCTTCTGCTGGTACCAGGAAGAATATCTTCCAAACACCAAGGAGGGAGGGGTCAAAGAGACCATTGACCCATTAATTTTCATCCTTCGCTCCACTGAATCCCAGAACCACTGGACAGTGCCACTGAGGATCCTGAAAGCCAAGCTCTACCTCTTTGAGGAAAAATTTCTTGTCACTTACCACCCTAAAGCATTGAGAATGAGAGTGTCCCGTGGGCCCAGACAGCCTCCATTCTCAGTTCACACCATGAACATGCTGGGGGAACACTAAAGGGACTCCCTAAAATCGATGCCATTATTTTTTATTTTGAAAATTTTCTACCAGAAATGGACCAGGTGCTGTGGCTCATGTCTGTAATCCCAACACTGCTGGACACCAAGGCAGGCAGATCACTTGAGGTCAGGAGTTCGAGAACAGCCTGGGCCTACATAATGAAACCATGTCTCTACTAAATATACAAAAGTTAAGAATCATTTGACTCCAGAAGGCAGAGGTTTCAGTGAGCCGACATCACACCACTGCACTCCAGCCTGGGTGACAGCGTTGGACTCTGACTCAAAAATAAACAAATTGATAAATTAATTAATTTAAATATTAGCCAGGTGTGGTCATGCATGACTGTAATCCTAGCTACTCTGGAGGCAGAGGAAGGAGAATCACTTGAAGCCCAGAGGCAGAGTTTCCAGGGAGCCCAGCTCAGGGCCCTGCACTCCAGTCTGGGTGACGCACTCAGAGTACATCGCAGAAAAAAACAAAATAATTCACTGGAACTGTAAAAGTGGTGTGATGGTATTCCACAGCATTTGGAAGGTATGTATAGAAATGCTAACTGTAGCTGGGCATGCTGGCTTACTCCTGTAATCCCAGCACTTTGGGAGTCTGAGGGGGGCAGATCTCCTGAGGTCAGGAGTTTGAGGCCAGCATGGCCAACATGGCAAAACCCTGTGTCTACTAAAAATACAAAAATTAGCTGGGCATGGTGGTGAGTGCCTGTAATCCAAGCTACTCAGGAGGCTGAAGCAGGAGAATCACATGTAACTAGGAGGCAGAAATTTCAGTGAGCCAAACCACACCATGGCACTCCAGCCTGGGCAACAATAGGGAAACTCCATCTCAAAAAAAAAATCAACCAGAAACTGTAAAAGTGCTACCATGCTATTCTAGAGCACTGTAACTCTAAGATGAAGGTTCCTATAGACATCACTTCCACATACTCACAATTACCCACTTTTTGATGGATCGATCCTAGGGTCAAAAATAAATCCCACAATCTGAGCAAAACTGCACTCTTGAGATTGGTGTGTGGGATACCTTTAAGGATTTTATGAAAATGAAAGCATACTTGGAGGATCACAATAACACCAAGTCTATGAACTGTAATTGAAAGGCACAAAAACAAATAACTTCAAATGTCAAGAAATAAAAATTCATGTCACTGTAAAGTTTTAATATATTTTTAAAAAACCTGCTTCCATAAGAATTTTAAAATGACAAAAACCAAGCACAAATCACAATCTGATGGATGAAGACAAAACTACATTTAGAGGAAAAATGAAAGCCTAAATCTGTTCATCTCACAAAACAGACAGAAAAATATTGTGTGCCACTTTGGGATGTGTGTCACCGTCCCTGACTGGCTGGCTGCTGATCAGATGGGCATGACCCTAAGAAGGTGGTGACTTACCAGCGCTGGACTCACTTTGCAGAGTTCTGGGACCTCTCAGGGAACCAACCAGTAGCTTCAGGTGTGAGTGCTGTGGGTCTCTTCTGGGTACCCTCAGGAGCTTTTATAGACCTTTCTAACCCCACCCTTCCCTTCTCAATCACCAGCTTCCAATCAGAAAGTGATACCTGATTAGATCTTGCAGTCACACCCAGTTAATCCTGATTGAGTTTTCAGCTTTCTTCTGACTAATTGATCGAATTAGATACACATTTATGGAAGTAAAAGAATAAATAATAGGGTGAAAGTCCAAAACTCATTCATTCATTTATTCCCCAAATACTGATGAAGTTTGGCTAATAGATGACTTTCATAGTGATACAGGGAAGGGATTAATCTGTTCCTGATATCAGACAAAAAAAAAAAAAAAACCTTAAGGTGTCCTTATTGGAGGATGTTTGGCCACATCAAAATTGTCAAAATGTTTCAGAGCTACAACAGCCTGAAGAAGATAGTGATGTCATTCCCAAGAAAACAGAATAAAAAGCTGTGTATATCGAATGGTTACCTGTGTTTTATGCTATCTAACATAGCAGATCATATGCACATTCAGGTAGAAGAAAGGAACCACTGAGGGTGTGATCTATCTCAAGACTAAGTCAAGGCTTCACTGAAGGAAATCAGGACAAAATGACCAAGTGAGGTGCGGACTGAGTGGAATGAGACTAGGTTTTCTAATGGGAACCTGCAAAGGAAACAAGACAATGTAAAACATGGTGGTTATCTTGTGGGCATCTAGATGTCAGGACTGAAAGTCCTTTGTCAAGATTGAGTTTATTTATTGATTCTTTGATTTTCAGACTGGGCCACCATCTGTCACCCAGGCTGGAGTGCAGTGGCATGATTTCAGCTCACTGCAACCTCAACTTTCTGGGTTCAAGCGATTTTCTCACCTTGCCTCCCGAGTAGCTGGGAATTATGGGTGCGCTCCAACATGCCCCACTAATTTTTGTATTTTTAGTTGAGATGGGGTTTCACCATGTTGGCCCGGCTGGTCTCGAACTCTTGACCTCAAGTGATCTCCCCACCTCAGCCTCCCAAAGTGCTAGGATTACAGGCATCAGCCATCTCACACACCCTAGATTGAGTTCAGAAATTCAAAGGAGAATCATCAAAAGAGATAGGTCAGACTCTTAACCATAACATTGGCTTTGAGAACACAGGGGGCAGGTATAGTCTTGGCCCTACTAGAAGGTAAAGGGTGTTTACCCACAAAAATGATGGGCTCCTCTCAGAAAACCAGCTTGCAAAGATGGAATCTGAGAATGTGAGCTGGAGCAGAGGCCAGAGAGAAGATCGGGGCCACACTTGGGAAGGGAAAGCAAGCAAGCTCAGGCCTCCAATCCCAGCCCTTTGGGAAGCCAAGAAAGGCAGAGTGCTAGAGCTCAGGAATTTGTGAGGAGTATGGGCAATGTGATGAAACCCTGTCTCTAATACAAATACAAGATATTAGCCAGGGGGAGGCAGTGTGCACCTGTAGGCCAAGCTGCCCAAGAAGTTGAGGTGGGAGGATCACCTGAGCCCAGTGAGGCTTCTACTTCCCACGCCCCACTTTGTAAACCTGAGGCTGAGGGTGAGCTCAGCACCAATAATGGTTGTGAGAATCTGTGTTCACTGAGCATCCACGAGGCACAACAGATGGCTGGTACCGATCATCCCGGACCTCAGCTCTTCCTCATGGAGAATCTAAGGCACGTTGCTATTTTCCCCATTTCTAACCTGATAAACCTGAGACTTGGCCAGAGAAAAATCTGCCCATGTTCTGGCAGCAAATGATTGGCAAACAGGCATGAGCCACCACGGTCAGCCAGAAAAAAGTACTTAATAAATTACCAGCTAACTAAATGCAACACTGCATCAGAAAGTGATAGACAGGCCAGGCTCCGTGGCTCATGCCTGCAATCCCAGCACTTTGAGAGGCTGAGGCAGGTGGATCACCTCAGGTCTGGAGTTCGAGACCAGCCTGACCAACATGGAGAAACCCCATCCCTACTAAAAATACAAAATTAGCCAGGTGTGGTGGCGCATGCCTGTAATCCCAGCAACTCAGGAGGCTGAGGCTGGAGATTCGCTTGAACCAAGAAGGTGGAGGTTGCAGTGAGTCGAGATCGTGCCATTGCACTTCGGCTTGGGCAACAAGAGTGAAACTCCAGCTCAAAAAAAAAAAAAAAGAAAGAAAGAAAACAATATAGTAATATATAATGGCCATTCCAGGAATGCCAGCCAATCACAGAAAAATCTAAGTGTAATTCAGCATACTGACAAACTAAAGGGGGAAAAGCAAGGTTCCTACAAAATGCAGAAAGGAATTGAAGAAAAATCAAATTAAATTTATCATAGCATATTTTGGAAAATGAGATGTTGTATGTTGAAAACTTGCATTAAACATCAGATGTAATGGATAAACATTAGCTCCCTTCCTAGTGAGATATGAAACAAGGTAAGACCCTCAGCAACTTAGGATTTGAAGGCACGTAGGTATTTTGGTTAGTAGTAAAGACTCCAGATCCAGCAGATCCAGACTGTTTAATTTAGGTTCAAAACTGGCTCAGTACCATCCTGGCTAACACGGTGAATCCCCATCTCTACTAAAAATACAAAAATTAGCCAGACATGGTGGCAGGCACCTGTAGTCCCAGCTACTCGGGAGGCTGAGGCAGGAGAATGGAGTGAACCCGGGAGGCAGAGCTTGCAGTGAGCCGAGATCGCGCCACTGCACTCCAGCCTGGGCGACAGCACGAGACTCCATCCCAGAAAAAAAAAACTGGCTCAGTGGCCAATGGCTGTGTGGTCTTACCCAACTTACTTAACCTCTCTGTGCCTTAGCTCATTCACATATAAAATGGGATAATAGCAATATTGACTTCACAGAGTGTTATAAGTTAATCTATTTAAGTACTTCGAGCTGGATTTGACATAGGGCAAGCAAGGATATTTTTATTGTTATTATATTTGAAAAATATATTAGTTACAAACTTAGGTGAGAGACCAAGGTCTATGGTAAAGGTGATTATAAGCCTTCATACACCCCTGTTGTTCTGAAAATCTTAATTATAACAAGGCCCGGTGGAGTGGCTCACGTCTGTAATCCCAGCACTTTGGGAGGCTGAGGTGGGCGGATCACCTGAGGTGAGGTGGGCGGATCACCTGAGGTCAGGAGTTCGAGACCAGCCTCACCAAAGTGGCAAAACTATCTCTCTATTAAAATACAAAAAATAGCTGGGCATGGTGGTGGACACCTGTAATCCCAGGTACTCGGTAGGCTGAGGCAGGAGAATCACTTGAATCCAGGAGGCAGAGTTTGCAGTGAACCAAGATGGAACTATTGCTCTCCAGCCTGGCGACGGAGTGAGACTCCATCTCCAAAAAAAAATAATTAATTATAACAGCATGTCCATTCACTCTCCAAAGTGTCTAGGACTGGACAATTAATTGTCAGGCCCTCTTCTGTAGCACCCTACACTATAGCATATATGTGGATTAATATAAATACACATACAAATTTCAAGTATATATTCCATATACTTTCTATATACTTATTTTCTAAGAGGTCACATGCAAATTCAAGGCTATGTCAAAGAGTAGAGTGGCTATCTATGGAAAGGGGAGTGGAAGTGAATCATGGTAATAAAAAATAGGTGTAGATATAGATATGAATATGTAGACATACACACATATAGCGGCAAGAAAAGGGAATGTCATGGACCAATGATGACAGTGAGCCATGTAAAAAGGCTACAATTTTTGTGATTGTGTGTCCATTTTCAGGATGGGTTGTAGCTTACCTTTTTAGAAAGGCTGATGCCATAGTCATAGTGAATAAATGATTATAAAATGTGTTTCCTTTCTGGTGCACCTCTGGAGAAACTTGACACAGAGTCTCTGATGCCCAAGCTGGAGTACAGTGGTGCTATCTCGGCTCACTGCAACCTCTGCCTCCTGGGTTCAAGTAATTCTCATGCCTCAGCCTCCCAAGTAGCTGGGATTACAGGCATGCCACCACACCCAGCTAATTTTTGTATTTTTAGTAGATAATGGGGTTTCACCATGTTGCCCAGGCTGGTCAACTCCTGGCTTCAAGTGTTCCGCCAGCCTCAGCCTCCCAAAGTGCTGAGATTACAGGTGTGAGCCACCACGCCCAGTAAGACTGGCTTACTTTAATATAATTTTTACCACCCCTATGGGAAAATACAGCCAGACCCATCATAAGGTATTTTTTTTCACCAACTACAATCAGAAGCACCGATCATAAAGTATTTACTGGAGAACCTATGCCTTTGATAATAGAACCTCATGTATCCCCTGCACATTTTAGCTCTGACTGTGTAACCAGGGGTTCAACTCCAACAGATTAACCATTGCTTAAGTTGCAAAGCCTAAATTGCTCAGGCATGTCCGATGGGAAAAAGGTTTAACCTCTTAACTGTTAACACAGCCTGGCTGACTGTTTGAATTGGCATCACCTGAAACCAGTTGGAAAGGCCATGTGAGCTTGCTCCACTATCCCCAGATTGGGGAGACAGGCTTGGAACTTGTCTCCTGTCTCCCTGTCAGTTAACTATTTTTTATTTTTATTTTTATTTTTATTTTTTTCTTTGAGACAGAGTCTTGCTCTGTTGCCCAGGCTGGAGTGCAGTTGCGTGATCTCAGCTCACTGCAAACTTGGCCTTCCGGGTTCAAGTGATTCCTGCCTCAGCCTCCACAGTAGATGGGATTACAGGCGTGCACCACGATGCCTGACTAATTTTTGTATTTTTAGTAGAGAGGGAGTTTCACCATATTGGTCATCCTGGTCTGGAACTCCTGACCTTGTGATCTGCCCGCCTCGGCCTCCTAAAGTGCTGGGATTACAGGCATGAGCCATTGTGCCCGGTCCAGTTAACTCCTAATAATTTTTTATTTTTTCCCAAAATGGAGTCTTGCCCTGTCACCCAGGCTGGACTGCAGAGGTGCAATCTCAGCTCACTGCAACCTCTGCCTCCCAGGATCATGCCATTCTTCTGACTCAGCCTCCAGAGTAGCTGGGATTACAGGCATGGATCACCACACCCAGCTAATTTGTGTATTTTTAGTAGAGACAGGGTTTTCCCATGTTGTCCAGGCGGTCTCAAACCCCTGACCTTGTGATCTGACTCCCTCGGCCTCCTAAAGTGCTGGTATTATAGGCATGAGCCACCGTGCCCAGCCTTTTTTGCTTTTCTCAAACCATGGTGGTGTAGTATTGGGTTCTATGCACTTAGGAGAGTGAGCTCATCATTCAGTAACAATATGACTCAGTACCACGAGACCTTTCAAAGACTATTTCCAGTAGGTGAAGGAGGCTTTTAATGATGATTGGACCTTCATGCCCTACCATTTGGAGATTGTGTCTTTTAAAATGGCCCTAAGGGAAATCTGCCCATGAGCAGCATTGGATGAGACCATACCAGGTGACTTAAAATTAAGGATAACCAAGGAAAAAAGCCTTTCTTACAAGCAGACATCATCACATGGTAGACAGCTGTTTTAAGAAAATGGAACAAAACTCCATTCGATCTCCTTCCATTGACTGAGACTTGGTTTTGTTTTGTACTAACACAAAATGATCAAGCCTACATTTTATTTTGTTACGTACTTTCACCAGTCAAAGCAAACACTTTCTAAGGTCTCCTCTTCAAAATTTAGCCACTATCACTAACCAAAGCAATTGCTGCCTATGGAGTCATTTAGATGAATAGGAAGGATCACAACTAATAGTAGAACCTGCTCTCACACACGGTTGGGTAATATTTATGATTAAATGACTCGGCACTGAGAAGAAGCTATAGATGCAAATGGGTGGCCTATGACTATTATTGATTTCATTACTGGTAACTTATCTCTATGCATAGGAAACATTAGTGTAACTGGGTCTAATCTAGGTGGTGTCCCAGACTCTTGTGGCTCAGGCTGGAGTGCAATGGCACAATCTCAGCCCACTGCAACCTCCACCTCCCGGGTTCAAGTGATTCTACTGTCTCAGCCTCCCAAGTAGCAGGGATTACAGGCATGTGCCACTACAGCCAGCTAATTTTGTATTTTTAGTAGAGACATGGTTTCTCTGTGTTGGTCAGGCTGGTCTCCAACACCCAACCTCAGGTTATCCTCCGGCCTTGGCCTCCCAAAGTGATAGGATTACAGGCACGAGCCACCGAACCTGGATAGAGAACATTTCTGATGGCTCCATATTGATGGAACTTCAAATAACTCTCTGGTAAATTATTTTCTATAATACCCTTAAATAAAAAATGGAGAAGCTGAGATCCAGATCAATGTAGACTTTGGTACAGAGTTGGTGGTACCAGGGCTGCCATATCCAGTTTACACCCCAACCTGATATATCAGCAAATCTCCTGGAGTAAGGAAAATATTTCTGAGGAGGGGTTTCACATGAAATTCAGAAAATTCCTGTGTTTGAAGCAGTCCAAATGACATTTTGTGGCAACAAAATATATGGTCTACTTAACAGAGAAGGAGACTGTGTAAGAAAAAAAGAAAAAAGATGTTTATCCTGAAATGAGCAAAGCATTGGGAATGGATGTGAGATTATTTTGGGAGAAAAATAGAAGATGAAGGTTTTGAAAGGAAAAATAAGGAGGATTATATAAATTGTTTTGAAAGGCTCATCCTTGGTCCTAATAATCAAAACCAAAGGGGCATCAGTGAAATATTGGATAGATTCCTCCTCCACCCCCTCAGTAACCCCCAACATGTTTACCAAGTCTTGGTTCACTCCCAGGATCCCATTAAAACACCAAGCTCAACCAAGCCCATCCTCTACCCTCACTTCCTTTTGCAATTTTGACATGATTTTATTACAGGACCATCAGATTCCTATGCCTGCTGCACAGTAGCTTACCAATATTTTGAGACAGCAGAGTTTGCAGCAGAGAGTTTAATGATCACAGGGTGGCTAAATGAGAAGCTAGGAGGAGATCCTCAAATTCATCTCCCCAAGGAGGAGATCCACTGAGGGTTTCCAGTGGATCCTGGATAGCAAGGGGCTGGAAAGTTGATATAGAGTTAAGAGGGATGAAGTCATCAGGATGTCAAAACTGCATTCTTTGGTGCGTTGGTGCCTTGTAGGGCCCTTCAGATCAGCTGGCATCAGTACTTTCACTGACATGCAGAACGTAAGAATATCTCAAATGAAAAAGTTAATGTTTTACAAGGCTTAAATTGTTGTCTGCAGGGCAGTTAAGGGGAACTGTAATCTAAGGTCTAAATGATTTGGGGACAGTAGGCTGCCAGCAACCATGAGGAAGAAGGTCAGAGAGCAAGCTGACCTCATGGTGAATGCTGAATGCGCTGCAAGCTTGGTTTATTTTTGTTTCTCCCCCTCCCTTCTTCACTGATTAAATTTATAAAGTTTATAGGTATCGTTTCAATTTCTTCCAAAGAAGCCTTAACCTAAGCACTGAGACCACTCACGCCCTGAGTGGCACCTCTCTTCCACCAGCACGAGTGAAGAAACTGCTACCTTAGGTGATATAAAACCCACAAGACCATTCCATACATGGAGATCTTTATTCTTATTTTGTAGGGATGACTCCGTTTTTATAAAGTTGTTTTAACTAGAAAGCATTTTTATAATTTTGATGTGGCCAAAGATCTCCCCACAACACTACTTTCAGGTTTTATTTTTCTGTCTAATGTCCGGAACAGATCAACCCCTTCCCTGCCTCACACTCAGGACCTGAAGGCGACATAGCAGTAAAATTCCATCAGTGTTTGTGGATTTCATGAATGAATGCATTTTTTTTTTGACAAAATCTCCCTCCGTCACCCAGTCAGGAGGGCAATGGTGTAATCTTGGCTCACTGCAAACTCAGCCTCCAGGGTTCAAGGGATTCTCCCACCTCAGCCACATGAGTAGCTGGACTACAGGCAGCCACCATCGTGCCTGGCTAACTTTTCTATTTTTGTAGAGACAGGGTTTCACCATGTGGGCCAGGCGGGTCTTGAACTCCTGACATCAGGTGATCCACCTACCTTGGCCTCCTAAAGTGCTGGGATTACAGGTGTGAGCCACCTCATCTGGCCTTGAGTGAATGAATTCTTGACTTCCACTCTATCCCTAACGCTGTCAATTTCTTAATTCATGAAATGAATATGCATATGTGATATGAATGGATACCTGGTTCAATCCATTAGTCTTCGGACAGCCAAAAACCCAATCAGGATTAACTGAGTGGAGCTTCAGAAATGCAATCAGATATCGCTTTTTGATTGGAAGCTAGCAGCGGATATGTGGAGGGGCGTGGGTGGGAGTTGTGATTAGAAAGGTCAATAAAAGCTTCTAAAGACCCACAGGACAGACTCAAAGTCTTCAAGCCTGGAGTTCCTGCTTGGCTCTTCCTGAGGTCTGAGCTACAACTACAACCAGAGGTCTAAACTACAACCAGATCTGGTAAGTCACTAATTTCTGGAAGGACACTCCCATCTGACCTACAGTCAGCCGGTCTAGAACGGTGACAGTGCAGCCTACGACGGCACAGAACTATATCCTGTCTTTTTTTCTTTTTTTCATATGAACACTTTGAAGCTTTGATTTTTTTTCTAAATGCAATTTTGTCTTTATTTCAAAAATGTTGTTGTGCTTTTCTTTACATCATTTCAGAATTCTTGTTGGGAGCCATTTTGTGAAGAGACGAAGACTGAGCTGTTTTGGCTGCATTTCTGGCCTCGAGCCGCAGTCAGTTTCTCCCCGTAGAACCCGGCAGTAGGAGACTTAGAATCGAATCTCTTCTCCCTCCCGCCTCCTGTTTTTGGCTTTTTGAGAAACCTTATCATCCAACACAATGGCCAGCAACGTTACCAACAAGATGGATCCTCACTCCATGAACTCCCGTGTGTTCATTGGGAATCTCAACACTCTTGTTGTCAAGAAATCGGATGTGGAGGCGATCTTTTCCAAGTATGGCAAAATTGCGGGCTGCTCTGTTCATAAGGGCTTTGCCTTCGTTCAATATGATAAGGAGAAAAATGCCCGGGCTGCTGTAGCAGGAGAGGATGGCAGAATGATTGCTAGCCAGGTTGTAGATATTAACCTGGCTGCGGAGCCAAAAGTGAACCGAGGAAACGCAGGTGTGAAACGATCAGCAGCGGAGATGTACGGCTCCTCTTTTGACTTGGACTATGGCTTTCAACGGGATTATTATGATGGAATGTACAGTTTCCCAGCACGTGTACCTCCTCCTCCTCCCATTGCTCTGGCTGTAGTGCCCTCGAAACGTCAACGTCTATCAGGAAACACCTCACGAAGGGGCAAAAGTGGCTTCAATTCTAAGAGTGGAAAGCGGGGATCTTCCAAGTCTGGAAAGTTGAAAGGTGATGACCTTCAGGCCATTAAGCAGGAGTTGACCCAGATAAAACAGAAAGTGGATTCTCTCCTGGAAAACCTGGAAAAAATTGAAAAGGAACAGAGCAAACAAGAGGTAGAGGTGAAAAATGCTAAGTCAGAAGAGGAGCAGAGCAGTAGCTCCATGAAGAAAGATGAGACTCATGTGAAGATGGAGTCTGAGGGGGGTGCAGAAGACTCTGCTGAGGAGGGGGACCCACTGGATGATGATGTTAATGAAGATCAGGGGGATGACCAGCTGGAGTTGATCAAGGATGATGAAAAAGAGGCTGAGGAAGGAGAGGATGACAGAGACAGCACCAATGGCCAGGATGACTCTTAAGCACATAGTGGGGTTGAGAAATCTTATCCCATTGTTTCTTTACCTAGGAGCTTGTCTAACAACAAATTTTTCACCAGATCCTCTCCCTTAGTATCTTCAGCACATGCTTACTGTTCTCCCCATCTTTGTCCTTCCCATGTTCATTAATTCATATTGCCCTGTGCCTAGTCCCATTTTCACTTCCCTTGACACCCCTAGTAGTTGTCCTAAGTCTTACCCTGTAATTTTTCCTTTTAATTTTGACACCTCTTTATGACTTAACAGTAAAAAGGATGTATGGTTTTTATCAACTGTCTCCAAAATAATTTCTTATTTTGTTTATTTAGTTTATTTATTTGTTAGTTTAGTTTAGTTTTGTTTATTTGTTATTTAGTTTACTGAGAATGATGTTTTCCAATTTCATCCATGTCCCTACAAAGGACATGAACTCATCATTTTTTATGGCTGCATAGTATTCCATGGTGTATATGTGCCACATTTTCTTAATCCAGTCTATCATTGTTGGACATTTGGGTTGGTTCCAAGTCTTTCCTATTGTCAATAATGCCGCAATAAACATACATGTGCATGTGTCTTTATAGCAGCATGATTTATAGTCCTTTGGGTATATACCCAGTAATGGGATGGCTGGGTCAAATGGTATTTCCAGTTCTAGATCCCTGAGGAATCGCCACACTGACTTCCACAATGGTTGAACTAGTTTACAGTCCCACCAACAGTGTAAAAGTGTTCCTATTTCTCCACATCCTCTTCAGCACCTGTTGTTTCCTGACTTTTTAATGATTGCCATTCTAACTGGTGTGAGATGGTATCTCATTGTGGTTTTGATTTGCATTTCTCTGATGGCCAGTGATGATGAGCATTTTTTCATGTGTTTTTTGGCTGCATAAATGTCTTCTTTTAAGAAGTGTCTGTTCATGTCCTTTGCCCACTTTTTGATGGGGTTGTTTGTTTTTTTCTTGTAAATTTGTTTGAGTTCATTGTAGATTCTGGATATTAGCCCTTTGTCAGATGAGTAGGTTGTGAAAATTTTCTCCCATTTTGTAGGTTGCCTGTTCACTCTGATGGTAGTTTCTTTTGCTGTGCAGAAGCTCTTTAGTTTAATTAGATCCCATTTGTCAATTTTGTCTTTTGTTGCAAGTTGGAATGCTTTTATAAGAAAGGTTGAAAGAAGGGGATGGGACTCCTCCTATCAGTTGTTTTTTTTTTAATTTTCTTTTGTTTTATCCTGGCAAGGCTCTAATAGAGTTGAGCTTTTTTGTTTTTGTTTTTTCCATTGGAAGGGACAATACAGAGGTTACAATCATTGACTTTAGATGACAACATGACAGGCAAAAATATTTTCCTTGCAAGACAACCAGCAAAACTTCACGATCAGAATCAAATCAGTGTCCTTCTCACTGTCACTGGGTGAAGCCTTCATCAGTACTTGAAGAGTCTCAGGCACTCATGAAGTCAAGATCAGATTCTTTACTCAGGGACAGGATGTAAGCCAATCATAAGACCTTCCACAGATGATCAATTTGGAAGTCTACCTAATGTGACCTGCAGGTTTTCACTGGCAATATGCAGGTGCAGATATGACAAAGAATAATCCTGACCTTCATATCACCCCTAGCTGTTGAGGATTGGGATTCTTTTGTCCCTTTCTCTCCATAAAACCAGGCTACTCATCTTGTGTGGCAACAAAATATATGGTCTACTTAACAGAGAAAGAGACTCCACAGGAAAAAAAAAAAAGGATTTTTATTATGAAATGAGCAAAGCCATGGGAATAGATGTGAGATTATTCGGGGAGGTAAAGGAAGACAAAGGTTTTGAAAGGAAAAATGAGGAGAATTACATAAATTTTTTTGAAAGACTCATTCTTGGTCACAAGTATGAAAACCAAGGGACCCTCAGTGCAATGTTGGAAAGATTCCTCCTCCACCCTCTCAATAACCCCCAACACATTTACCAAGTCTTCGTTCACTCCCAGGATTCCATTAAAACACCCAGCTCAACCCTGACCAGCCTCCATTTTCACTTCCCTTTATAATTTTGACATAAATTTGTTACAGGACCATCAGGTTCCTATGCCTGCTGCACAGTAGCTTACCAATATTCTGAGACAGCAGGGTTTGCAGCAGAAAGTTTAATGATCACAGGGTGGCTGAATGAGAAGCTGGGAGGAGATCCTCAAATTCATCTCCCCAAGGAGTACTGAGGGTTTCCAGTGGATCCTGGATAGCAAGGGGCTGGAAAGTTGGTGTAGTTTGATGGCAATAAGAGGTATGAAGTTATCACGATGTCAGAACGGCATTCTTTGGTGAGTTGATGCCTTGCAGGGCCCTTCAGATCAGCTGGCATCAGTAGTTTCACTGACATGCAGAACCTGAAAGAATATCTCAGATGAAAAAGTGAATGTTTCACAATGCTTAAATTGTTGTCTGCAGCGTAGTTAAGGGGAATTGTAGTCTAAGTTCTACATGATTTTGGGACAGTAGGCTGCCAGGAACCATGAGGAAGCAGGTCAGAGGGCAAGCTGACCTCCTGGTGAATGCTGAATGCGCTGCAAGCTTGGTTTGTTTTTGTTCCTCCCCCTCTCTTTTTCACTGATTAAATTTATAAAGTTTAGAGATACGGTTTCAATTTCTTCCAGACAAGCCTTAACCTAAGCCCTGAGACCACTCAAGCCCTCAGTGGCACCTCTCTTCCACCAGCGTGAGCAAATAAATTGCTACCTTAGGTGATATAGAACCCACAAGACCATTCGATACATGGAGATTTTTTTTCTGATTTTGTAGGGATGACTTCTCTGTTTTTATAAAGCTGTTTTAACTATAAAACAATTTTATAATTTTAATGTGGCCAAAGATCTCCCAACACTACTTTCAGGTTTTATTTTTCTGTCTACTATCCGGAACAGATCAAACCCTTCCCTGCCTCAAACTCAGGACTATATAGGTCATATATCAGTAAAATTCCATCAGTGTTTGTGGAGTTTATGAATGAATGAATTCTTTTTATTTTTATTTTTTTGACAAAGTCTACCTCTGTCACCCAGAACGGTGTGCAATGGTGCAATCTTGGCTCACTGCAACCATTGCCTCCGGGATTCAAGCGATTCTCCCACCTCAGCCTCCTGAGTAGCTGGATTACAGGCACCTGCCATCATGCCAGGCTAATTTTTGTGTTTTTGTAGAAATGGGGTTTCACCATGTTGGCCTTGCAGGTCTTGATCGCCTGACCTCAGGCGATCCAGCCAACTTGGACTCTCAAAGTGCAGGGATTACAGGTGTGACCCACCTCACCCGGCCTTTAATGAGTGAATTCTTGATTTCCAACCTATTCCTAACACTGTCAATTTCTTGATTCATGAACTTAATATGGATAGCTGATATGAATGAATATCTGATTCAATCCAGTAATCTGGGGACAGCCAAAAACCCAATCAAGATTAACTGGGTGGAGCTTCAGAAATGCAATCAGATAGCACTTTTTGATTGGAAGCAAGCACTGGATACATGGAGGGGTGTGGGTGGGAGTTGTGATTAGAAAGATCAATAAAAGTTTCTGAAGACCCACAGGAGAGACCCAAAGTCTTCAAGTCTGGAGTTCCTGCTTGGTTCTTCCTGAGGTCTAAGCATGCTGCAAACTCAGTCCAGATCTAGTAAGTCACTCATTTCTGGAAGGACACTCCCATCTGACCTATAGTCAGTCGGTCTGGGACAGGGACAGTGCAGCCTATGATGGCACCAAGCTATATCTGTCTTTTATATATATATATGAACAATTTGAAGATTTGAATTTTTTCCTCTATATGCAGTTTTGTCTTTATTTCAAAAAATTGGATTGTGCTTTGGTTTATGTCATTTCAAAATTCTTGATGAGAGCAATGACTCATGCCCATAACCTCAACACCTTGGGAGGCCAAAGCGGGAGGATCATTTGAGCTCAGCGGTTTGAGACCAACCTGGGCAACATGGCAAAAACGCAGCTCTACAAAACATTCTTTTTTTGAAGCAGGGATGGAGCCTCACCCTGTTGCCAAGGCTGGAGTGCAGTGGCAAGAGCTCAACTCACTGCAACCTCTTCCTCCCAGGCTCAAACAATTTTCATGCCTCAGCTTCCTGAGTAGCTGGTATTACATCCCTCTGCCACCATGCCTGCTTAATTTTTGTATTTTTAGTAGTGGTGGGGTTTCACCATGCTGGCCAGGTTGGTCTCAAACTCCTGACATCAAGTGATCCTCCTGCCTCAGCCCCCCAAAGTGCTGGAATGACAGCCTTGAGCCAATGGTGGTCAGCCTCTACAAAATATATATATCTTTTAATTTGCCAGGCATGGTAGCATGCGTCTGTATTCCCAGCTATTTGGTTTGCTGACATGGGAGAATCACTTGAGCCCAGAAGATTGAGGCTGCAGTGAGCCATGCTCACACCACTGCTGTACTCCAGCCTGGGCAACAGAGTAAGACCCTGCTAAAAACAAAAACAAAACAAAAACAAACAAACAAAAAACCTTAACCAAAGAGAATCTTTGACCTTAATTTTAAACCAATCACATCCTCACTGTAATTCTTCCTCCCGAATGGAGACATGGGTGTGGGGGTGCATGCCTGTAATCCCAGCTACGTGGAAGGTTGAAGCATGAGAATTGCTTGAATCTCAGAGGCGGAAGTTACAGTGAGCTGAGATGGAGCCGCTGCACTCCAGCCTGGGCGACAAAGTGAGATTCAGCTTCACCCACACCAAAAAAAATGAGATTATACCACCCAGGTGATCATTGGATACATGAAGATTTCTATTGTGTTTTCTTGGGGACTGTCAACTCCGTCTTTGAAAACTGTTTTAACTCTGAAAAATTTTGATAAATTTGATGTGGCCAAGGATCCCTCAACAAAGATACTTTCAAGTTTTCTTTCTTTCTATCTAATATCAGGAAGAGATTCAACCCTTCCCTATCTCACACTCAGGACTATGAAGGACACATATTAGTAAACCTCCATGTTTGTGGAGGGAATCAGTGAATGAGTCCTGGACTTTCACCCTATCCCTAAATCTTTCACTCTGATGGATGAATATCTAATTCAATCAGTTAATCTGGAAGAAAGCCAAAAATCCAATCAGGATTAACTGGGTAGAGTTTAAGAAGTCGAATCAAATGTAGTTCTCTCTCTTTTCTTTTTTTTTTTTTCTTTGAATCTAGCCTATTTCCCAGGCTGGAGTGCAGTGGAGTATTGTCAGCTCACTGCGACCTCTGCCTCCTGGGTTCAAGCGAGCCTCCTGCATCAGCCTCCCTAGTAGCTTGGATTATAGGCACAGACAACTGCACCTTGCTAATTTTTCTAATTTTGGTAGAGGTAGGGTTTTACCATGTTGGCCAGGCTGGTCTCAAACTCCTGACCTCGGATAATCCACCTGCCTCTGCCTCCCAGAGTGCTGGGATTACAGGTGTGAGTCACTGCACACAGCCAAAGTGGTTCATTTTGAATATGTGTGAGAGGTGTGTATTGGAAACATCTGTGTCTTGCCAATGATGCATAACACTGTCACATAGCTTTCAAAGCTTCTCGCTGAAATTTTCAATAATGAGACCAGGCAGAGGCTCATGCCTGCAATCCCAGCACTTTGGGAGGCCAAAGTGGGTGGATTGTTTGAGTCTAGGAGTTCAAGACCAGCCTGGACAACATAGTGAAACCCACTGTCTTTACAAAAAGTCAAAAAATAAAAGATTAGCTGGGTACGAGATCTGAGCTTCAGAGATCCTCGGTAACATTTGCCAGTGCTATGAGTTTAGTGGATCAGTGGCTAATAATTCATGGACTACGAGGGATCTTGCCTGCTCTTTAGAAGTTGGGACACATTCTTCATGGTACCAGAAGGGTAGAACTGTGTCTCTGTGGCCACTTATTGCAGAAAGGAACTGGAGTAAACTAAGGGCTCTTTCACACACGCTAGAGAAATGACTTTGGCCCTGGGAGAATTGGGGGTTGCAGGGGATTGGTCTGAGGAACTTGCCTTTTTGCTGGATTGTGCTGTAGAGTTTTTCCTTGTAGATTTGTCAGAATGAGCCTCCAGACCCCATCCAGACTCCTGGAGCTGGCAGGGCAGAGCCTGCTGAGGAACCAGTTCTTGACTATCTTCACCCTGGATGAGCTGCCCAGGGAGGTCTCCCCTCTGTTCATGGAGGCCTTCAGCATGAGATGTTGTGAGGCCCTGAAGCTGATGGTGCAGGCCTGGCCCTCCCTTCACCTCCCTCTGGGATCCCTGATGAAGACAACTCATCTGGAGACCTTGCAAGCTGTGCTGAAGGGACTTGATACACTAGTGTCCCAGAAGGTTTGCCCCAGTTGAGGTGACTCAGGTGGCCTGGTGGGAAGGGTCCAGACATCCAGGGAAGGGACAGCTGGCTCAGGAGGAGTGGCAGTGTGTGGGAGCTAGGGTGGCTCAGAGGCTTCTGATGGTGCCCATGAGAAGCCTTGGCCATTGCCCAGATCCTCTGGAAAAGGACTGCTTACCATACAGGGTCCACTGAGGAAACAGGAACCTGCTTCCTCCCAGTGGAAGGTAAAGGTACTAGAAGTGGGTACCATGCAGAATCCAAGGGGGAACAGGATGGAGAAAAGACAGAAGGAGGAGCACTGGGACAGGAGCAGCTGACTCATGTCCTGGATGCGGAGTGAAAGTTCAGGTCAAGGGTCGGTCCTTGCCTACATTCTGAGCTTTTCCCTTATGTTACTCACAGGAGGTGGAAACTTCAAGTGCTGGATTTGAGGGATGTTGATGAGAATTTCTGGACCATATGGTCTGGAGTCAGGGTCCTCCCCTGCTCCCCAGAGGCCATGAGTAAGAGGCAGACAGTGGAGAACTGTCCAAGGATGGGAGAGTGCCAGCCCTTGAAGGTGTTCATAGACCTCTGCCTGAAGGAAAGTACACTGCATGAATGCCTGAGCTACCTCTGAAGGTGGATCCACTACAGAAGAGGCCTAGTGCACCTGTGTTGTAGTAAGGTGCAGAATTACTCAATGCCCACTTCAAGTTTCAGAAATCTATTGGAAAGGATATACCCAGATAGTATCCAGGAGTTGGAAGTCTGGAAAAAGTGCTCTCTCAATAAAACGGGAAAGTTTGCCCCTTACCTGAGCCAGATGAGCAATCTTTGCAAACTTTTTAGCCTTCGGTTATGAGCCTGAATTATACGTGAGCGGCCAATGGCAGTTCATTCCTGACTTGGATTGGCCATTCCTGTGCCTGTACTACCCCCAGATGCATTATATAAGAAAGGTCAGTAATATCAAAGAGCACCTGGAGCACCTGCTCAGGTAGGAAACGATGGTGGGCTTTCTGTGCAGACCATAACACAGACTTTTGTTCTTTTTCACAGTAAATGTTAGTGGGCATCTACTGTGTGCCATCCACTGAGGATGTCACAGGGAATGGGATGCTAGAATGTCAACTCATTAAGCTGTTCAGTGCTCTATATCCTGAAGTTGGTATCACAAGACCACTCAAATAAGGGCAGAGGGATGGCCTGGGGTAGATGCTACAGAGAGAGATGTATAGGGAGCTAGTTAGTTGGGGATTCACATCTAGTGAAGGGGCATTTGTGAATTCCTCCTTAGGAAGTGTGTATAAAGTTAATATGATGAAAACGTATTCTTCATAAAGAAGAGGGTATGAAAGAAGGGAAAGTGCAGTCTGGTGTGATGTCTCATGCCTGTAATCCCAGGACTTTGGAAGGCTGAGGCAGGCAGATCACGAGGTCAGGAGTTTCAGACCACCCTGACCAACACAGTGAATCCCTATCTCTATTAAAAATACAAAATTTAGCTGAGCATGGTGCCAGGCACCTGTAATCCCAGCTACTTGGGAGGCTGAGGCAAGGGAAGTGAAGGCTGCAGTGAGCTGAGATTGTGCCACTGTAATCCAGCCTAAGTTACAATGTGAGACTCTGTGTCAAAAAAAAAAAAAGAAAAGAAAAGAAAAAGAAGAAGGGAAAGTGCATGAAACCTGTGCATTTCACAGTAGAAGCTCCGTCCTCAGCAGCTTAATAAACACCAATGATCCTGTCTGTAATTCCTTGTCTGTGAAAGGTTGTTTTGAACTCCAGGAAAGGTAATTGATACGGGAAGTGCATGCTTCTGGGATGGAGGGTGAGGGAGTAGGTGTGAGAGTGGTACCAATCACACAAGCGAGGCTGAAAGGACTGAGCCTAAAATAGAGCTGCCCCTGAATGATCTGAGTCTTCATCAGGCAGCACCTTGCACGCAGACCATCATCTGGTGATGGGAACAAACTTGTGTTTGGGTGAAACAGGCTTCCCTATTGCAGTTACTATAACACCTGTGTGGTAGTAAGGTGCAGAATTACTCAATGCCCACTTCAAGTTTACCATTGAGATGATTTCCCACCCCCCTCCTCTAACTGGCACCATTGCCCATAACTAACTTCTTGCTCTCCCCAGGTACCTCAAGAACCCCTTGGGGGCCTTTACATTCAGTGATGCTTACCTAGCTGATCGGGACATGGAGTGTCTGTCTCAGTACCCAAGCCTCAGTCAGCTAAAGGAGCTGCGTCTGATTCATATCCTAATGTGGACCACCAATCTTGAGCCCCTTGGAGCTCTGCTGGAGAAAGTTGCTGCTACTCTCAAGACCCTCGTCTTAGAGGACTGTCGGATCCAGGCCCCCCAACTCAGGGTCCCCCTGCCTGCCCTGAGCCACTGTTCCCAGCTCACCACCTTCTACTTTCATGGAAATGAGACCTCCACGAATGCTCTGAAAGACCTGCTGCGTCACACAGGCAGGCTGAGCAAGTTAGGCCTGGACATGTATCCTGCCCCTCTGGAGTGTCTTGACAACAGGGGTCATGCCAATTGGGAGATCCTCACCCCAATTACGGCTGAGCTGATGCGTACACTCAGGGAAGTCAGGCAGAACAGGAGGATCTTCTTTTTTTTTTTTTTTTTTTTTTTTTTTGAGACGGAGTCTCGCTCTGTCGCCCAGGCTGGAGTGCAGTGGCACAATCTCGGCTCACTGCAAGCTCCGCCTCCCGGGTTCACGCCATTCTCCTGCCTCAGCCTCCCAAGTAGCTGGGACTACAGGCGCCCGCCACTACGCCCGGCTAATTTTTTGTATTTTTAGTAGAGACGGGGTTTCACCGTTTTAGCCGGGATGGTCTCGATCTCCTGACCTCGTGATCCGCCCGCCTTGGCCTCAGGAGGATCTTCTTTGGTCCCACCCCCTGCCCTTCCTGTGGCTCATGGCCATCTGAGAAACTGGAGTTCCATGTGCTCCTAGGGAAGGCCTGGTTAGTGGGATGGATAAGCTTTCTTCCGGACACTTGGGAACTAAAATCTTGTACATGGGTGCATTTTTAATTTTAATTTAATTTAATTTTTTATATTTTTATTTTATTTTATTTTATTTTTGAGACAGAGTCTGACTCTGTCCCTCAGGATGAAGTGTAGTGGCACAATCTCAGCTCATGGCAAGCTTTGCCTCCTGGGTTCAAGTCATTCTCCTGCCTCAGCCTCCCAAGTAACTGGTGTTATGGGTGTGGGCCCCAAGCCCGGCTAATTTTTGTATTTTTAGTAGAGACAGGGTTTCACGATGTTGGCGGAGGCTGGCCTCTAACTCCTAACCTCAAGTGATCTGATTGCCTTGGCCTTCCACAGTTCCAGGTTTACAAGTGTGTGCAGCTGGGCCCGGTCAGCCGTTTCTTAAAGGAAGCACACAGCTGTGTGTTTCAGGTACGTGCTCACCGCGAGTGGAAAAACAAAGGTGACTCAGCCGGGGGCAGGACTGGGTAAAAATGCTGACTTGGAATCAATGAGGCCTTCAGGGACCTGTGTTCTAGACTCAGAAATGGAGCCTGAAGTTCTAGACTGATGCAGGAGTTGCCACCGCAAGGATGGTTATTTAAAAATGTCAAAAATAAATGGAACCTGAATGGAAACTTTCTGGTGTCTTCCACGATTGATCAACTTGTTTTAGACATTTATGTATCAGAAGTCTCTAGAAATCACCCTCCTGGGTTCAAGCAACTCTCCTACCTCAGCCTCCTGAGTAGCTGGGACTACAGGGCACCGCCACCACACCTGGCTAATTTTTGTATTTTAAGTAGAAAGGGGGTTTCACCATGTTGGCCAGTCTGGTCTCGAACCCCTGACCTCAGGAAAACCACTTGCCTCAGCCTCCCAAAGTGCTTGGATTGTAGACATGAGCCACTGCACCTGGCCTGATATTCTGATACAAGCATAAAATGTGTAATATTCAAATCATGGTAACTGGGATATCCACCATCTCAAGAATTTATCTTTTCTTTCTGCTAGCAACATTCCAATTCCATTATTTTAATTATGTAGAAATTTACTACGAACTATTGTCAACATGAGTTGCCCTATTGTGCTACTAAACCCTAGATCTTATTCCTGTCTGTGTTTTTGTTCCCATTAACCATCCCCTTCTTATTCTCTATTTCCCAGTACCCTTCCTAGCTTCTGATAACCATCATTTTACTATTTTTAAGTTTCATGTTTTTTAATTCCCAAATATGAGTGCGAACATGCCATGTTTGTCTTTCTGTATCTGGCTTACTTCACTCAACATAACGCCCTCCAGTTCCTTCCATGTTGTCGCAGATAACTGGATTTCCTTCATGTTTACGGCTCAGTGATATTCTGTTGTGTATATTTACCACATTTTCTTGATCCATTCATCTGCTGATGGACACTTACGTTGATTCCAAATTTTGGCTATTGTGGATAGTGCTGCAATAAATAGGAGAGTGCAGGCTGAGTGCAGTGGCTCATGCCAGTAATCCCAGAATTTCGGGAGGCTGAGGCAGGTGGATTACTTGAGGTCAGGAGTTCAAGACCAGCCTGACCAACATGGTAGTGTAGATATCTCCTGGATATATTACTTTTTTTTTTTCTGGATATATGTCCAGCAGTGGGATTTATGGTTTATATGGTAATCCTATTTTTATTTTTTGGAGGAAGCTCCATTCTGCTTTCCATAGTAGCTGTACTAATTTACATAACTACCAATGTTGTACCAGGGTTCTCATTTCTCCATATTCTTCATAGCATCCATTATTTTCTGTTGGTTTTTTATGGGGGAACTCCCCTTACTATTAAAACTCAAATCCAGTTTGGTGTAAACACAGAAACCCTGCTAGAGTTGCCTGCCACCTTTGAAACAGGCCATTGGAATGAAAATTGTCCACCTATGCACCAGGTCTCTATTGGACAGAATGTTTTGTCCCACAGGTTGTTCACATTAGAGGAGATTTCTTTTTTGTTTTTCTTTACTTTTCTGCCTTTTTTTTTTTTTTTTGAGGTAGAGTTTCACTATTGTTGCCCAGGCTGGAGTGCAATGGTGGGATCTCAGCTCACTGCAACCTCCACCTCCTGAGTTCAAGTGATTCTCCTGCCTCAGCTTCCCAAGTAGCTGGGATTACATTCATGCACCACCACAGCTGGCTAATTTTGTATTTTTAGTAGAGACAGGGTTTCTCCATGTTGGTTAGGCTGGTCTCGAACTCCCAACCTCAGGTTATTCCCCCACCTCAGCCTCCCAAAGTGCTGGGATTACAGGCATGAGCCACCACATCTGGCTAGAGGACATTTCTGATGTCTCCATATTGATGGAATTTAAAATAACTCTCTGGTAAATTGTTTTCTATAATAGCCTTAAATAAAAATGGAGAAGCTGAGATTAAGATCATTGCAGACTTAGGTACAGAATTGGTGGAAACCAGGGCTGCCATATCCAGTTTACAGCCAATATATCAGCAAATCCCTTGGAGAAAGGAAAATATTTCTGAGGAGGGGTTTCACATGAAGTTCAGAAAATTCCTGTGTTTGAAGCAGTCCAAATGACATTTGGACCATTTTTAGGAAAGTATGGCTTTTTATTAAGTGACAACATGGGGATGAGATTTGCTTTCTCCGTTAAGGTGATGCGTAAAGCTTTCTTTGGAGGGAGAGAAAACCCTAGAGTTTCCTGACCTTCCTTAACCTGAGCTGCTTGGTTCCCTAGAAGCAGAAATTGATCATATTAGAACCCAAACTCATACCAACCTTGACCTTCATGAAGTACTCAAGTGTTTCTGCTCTTCTTCCTCATGTGATGTAGAAAGTATTAAAAGTGATGAGTTTAGGCCAGGCACTAACTGGTTCACGCCTGTAATCTCAGCACTTTCAGAGGCCGAGGTGGGTGCATCACCTGTGGTCAGGAGTTCCAGACCAGCCTGGGCAACATGGTGAAACTCTCTCTCTACTAAAAATACAAAAACTAGCTGTGTGTGGTGGTCTGTGCCTGTAATTCCAGCTAACTGGGAGACTGAGGCAGGAGAATCACTTGAACCAGGAGGCAGAAGTTGCAGTGAGCCGAGATCGCACCATTGTACTCCAGCCTGGAAAACAAGAATGAAACTCTATCTCAAAAAAAAATTAATAAATAAATACATTATAAATAAATAAATTAATTAATGCTTTAAAGAAAAAAGAAATAAACTTTGCCTACAAGTTTCATATGCAATTGAGTACCTCTTAAATTTTGATGTGAATCGACCAGGCATGGTGGCTGAGGCCTGTAATCCCAGCACTTTGGGAGGCCGAGGCAGACAGACCACGAAGTCAGGAGATTGAGACCATCCTAGTTAACATGGTGAAACCCCGTCTTTACTAAAAATACAAAAAATTAGCCAGGTGTAGTGGCATGCACCTGTAGTCCCGGCTATTTAGGAGGCTAAGGCAGGAAAATTGCTTGAACCGGGGAGGCAGAGGTCGAAGTGAGCTGAGATCGTGCCACTGCATTCCAGCCTGGTGACACAGTGAGACTCCATCTCAAAAAATAAATGAATAAAATAAATAAATCAATAAAAATATTGTGACAGGAACCAACATTGCTCAACTTGTACACTAATGTCTTACAAAATCCTTTCCTTGTCACCTTCAAATCTCCATTTCAAATGCTACACTCTGCATAACTCTACCACTTTGTTGCCATTTTCTGATGGTGGAGAAGACCATACGTGTGTGTGTGTGTGGCATCAGAACTATTGACTCCTCCTATTGATGTTTAAGATATTCCATTACACAAACCTGGGTTCATACTTTTTGTTGATAGATCTTATGCCAAAAATGTAGGCAAAAAATGCCAAGCAGGAAATGCTATCACTTCTGAAGATGAATTCATAGAGATGGAAATTCTTTCAGAATTTATTTTTCCAGCTTTTTTCTTTGTTTGTTCGTTTGTGTTTGTTTGTTTTGAGACAGTCTCGCTCTGTCACCAAGTTGGAGTGCAGTGGTGAAATCTTGGCTGACTGCAACCTCCTCCTCCTGAGTTCAAGCGACTCTCCTGCCTCAGTCTCTCGAGTAGCTAGTACTATGGGTGGGTGCCACCATGCTCAGCTAATTTTTGTATTTTTAGCAAAGACAGGGTTTCACCATGTTGGCTAGGATGGTCTCAATTTTTTGGCATCGTGATCTACCTGCCTTGGCCTTCTGAAGTGCTGGGATTACAGGTGTGAGCCACCACCATGCCCGGCCTTTTTTTTTTTTTTTCCTTTTGAGATGGAGTCTCACTCTATTGCCCAGGCTGGGAATGGGACTCCTCCTATCAATTATTTTTTTAACTTTTCTTTTGTTTTATTGACCTGACAAGGGTCAAATAGAGTTGAGTTTTTGTTTTTGTTTTTTCCATTGGAAGGGACAATACAGAGGTTACAATCATTGGCTTTAGATGACACGATAAAAGAATAAAACATATTCCTTGCAAGACAACCAGCAAAACTTCATGATCAGCATCAAATCAGTGCCTTCTCACTGTCAGTGGGTGGAAGCCTTCATCAATACTTGTAGAGTTTGAAGCACTCATGAACTCACAATCAGACTCTTTACTCAGGGACAGGATGTAAGCCAATCGAAAGACCTTCCACAGGTGGTGAATTTGGGAGCCTGCCCAATGTGACCTGCAAGTTTTCACTGGCAAAATGCAGGTGCAGATATGACAAAGAATAACCATGACCTTTACATCACCCCCAGCTGTTGAGGAATGGGATCCTTTCGACCCTTTCTGTCCATAGAACCATGTTACTCATCTTGTGTGGCAACAAAATATATGGTCTACTTAACAGAGAAGAAGACTCTGTAAAAAAAAATGTTTATTATGAAGTAAGCAAAGAAGTGGCAATAGATGCGAGATTATTTGGGGAGATAAAGGAAGTTGAAGGTTTTGAAAGGAAAAATAAGGAGGATTATACAAATTGTTTTGAAAGACTCATACTTGGTCATAAGGATTAAAACCAAAAGGGCATCAGTGCAATGTTAGATAGATTCCTCTTACACCCACTCAATAACCCCCAACATGTTCAGCAAGTCTTGCTTCACTCCCAGGTTCCCATTAAAAACCCAGCTCAACCCTGACCAGCTCCACCCTCACTTCCATTTGTAATTTTGACATGACTTTATTACAGGACCATCAGGTTCCTATGCCTGCTGCACAGTAGCTTAGCAATATTCTGAGACAGCAGGGTTTGCAGCAGAGAGTTTAATGATCACAAGGTGGCTGAATGAGAAGCTAGGAGGAGATCCTCAAATTCATCTCCCCAAGGAGTACTGAAGGTTTCCAGTGGATCCTGGATAGCAAGAGGCCGGAAAGTTGGGGTAGCGGTAAGAGGGAAGAAGTCAACAGGATGTAGAAACTGCATTCTTTGGTGAGTTGGTGCATTGCATGGCCCTTCAGATCAGCTGGCATCAGCAGTTTCACTGACATGCAGAACCTGAAAGAATATCTCAGATGAAAAAATTAATGTTTTACAATGCTTGAATCGTTGTCTGCAGGGAAGTTAAGGGGAACTGTAATCTAAGGTCTATATGATTTTGGAACAGTAGGCTGCCAGCAACCATGAGGAACCAGTTCAGAGAGCAAGAAGACCTCCTGATGAAGGCTGAATGTGTTGCAAGCTTCGTTTATTTTTGTTTCTCTCCCTCCCTTCTTCACTGATTAAATTTATAAACTTTAGAGATGTGGTTTCAATTTCTTCCAAAGAAGCCTTAACCTAAGCCCTGAGACCACTCACGCCCTCAGTGGCACCTCTCCTCCACCAGAACGAGCATGTAATCTGCTACCTTAGGTTACACAAAATCCCAAAAACCATTCAATACATTGAGATTTTTATTCTGATTTCGTAGGGATGACTCCTCTGTTTTTATAAAGCTTTTTAAAGTAGAAAGCATTTTTATATTTTGATGTGGCCAAAGATCTCCTAACAACACTACTTTCAGATTTTATTTTTCTGTCTAATGTCGTAACAGATCAAATCCGTCCCTGCCTCACACTCAAGACTATGAAGTTCACATATTAGTAAAATGCCATCAGTGTTTCTGGAGTTCATGAATGAATGATTTTTTTATTTTTTGACAGAATCTCCCTCTGTCACCCAGACTGGAGTGCAGTGGCACAATTCTGGCTCACTGCAACCATTGCCTCCTGGGTTCAAGCAATTCTCCTGCCTCAGCCTCCCAAGTAGCTGGGTTTCAGGTGCCTGCCATCATGCCCAGCTAATTTTTGTATTTTTGTATTTTTGTAGAGACAGGGTTTCACCTTTTTGACCTGGCTCGTCTTGAACCCCTGACATCAGGTGATCTACTCACCTTGTCCTTCCCAAGTGCTGGAATTACAGCTATGAGCCACCTCACCCACCCTTGAATGAATGTATTCTTGACTTCTACCCTATCCCTAACACTGTCAATTTCTTGCTTCACGAACTGAATATAGATATGTGATATGAACGGATATCTGACTCAATCCATTAATCTGGGGAGAGCCAAAAACCCAATCAGGATTAACTGGATGGAGCTTCACAAATGCAATCAGATATTGCTTTTTGATTGGAAGCTAGCAGTGCAAACGTGGAAGGGCATGGGTGGGAGTTGTGATTAGAAAGGTCAATAAAATCTTCTAAAGACCCACAGGAGAGACCCAAAGTCTTCAAGCCTGGAGTTCCTGCTTGGTTCTTCCTGAGGTCTGAGCACCTTCTAGACTACATCCAGATCTGGTAAGTCACTAATTTCTGTAAGGACACTCCCATCTGACCTACAGTCAGTCAGTCTGGGATGGTGACAGTGCAGCCTACGATGGCACAGAGCTATATCCTGTCCTTTTTTTTTCTCATATGAACAATTTGAAGCTTTGAATTTTTTCCTCTAAATGCAGTTCTGTCTTTATTTCAAAAAAGTTGATTGTGCTTTGGTTGATGTCATTTCAAAATTCTTGAAGGGAGCAGTGACTCATGCCTTTAACCCCAACACATTGGGAGGCCAAAGTGGGAGGATCATTTCAGCCCAGGGGTTTGAGACCAACCTGGGCAACATGACAAAAGCCCTCCTCTACACAACGTTTTTTTTTTTTTTTGAGGGTGGGGATGGAGTCTCACTGTGTTGCCCAGACTGGAGTGCAGTGGCATGATCTCAACTCACTGCAACCTTTACCTCCCGGGTTCAAGCAATTCTCATGCCTCAGTCTCCATCCTCAGAAGCTGGTGTCACAGACATCTGAAACCATGCCTCGCTAATTTTTGTATTTTTAGTAGAGGTGGGGTTTCACCATGCTGGCCAGGTTGGTGTCGAACACCTGACCTCAAGTGATCCACCTGCCTTGGCCTCCCAAAGTGCTGGGATTACAGCTGTGAGTCACTGGTGCTTGGCCTCTACTTTTTTTTTTTTTAATTAGCCGAGCATGGTGACATGCATCTGTAGTCCCAGCTATTTGGGTGGCTGGTGTGGGAGAATCACTTGAGCCCAGAAGATTGAGGCTGCAGTGAGCCATGCTCATACCACTCCTGTACTCCAGCCTGGGCAAAAGAGAGACACCCTGTCCAAAAAACAAAAACAAAATCAATCAAAAAGGATCTTTGACCTTAATTTTAAACCAATCACATCCTCTTCCACCCAAATGGAGACATGGCTGTGGGGGGTGCATGCCTGTAGTCCCAGCTACGTGGAAGGCTGAAGCATGAGAATTGCTTGAATCTTGGAGGCCGAGGTAACAGTGAGCCGATATGACACCACTGCACTCTAGCCTGGCCGATGAAGTGAGATTCAGCTCCCTCAACACCAAAAAGAATTACGCCACCTAGGTGATCTTTGGATATATGAAGATTTCTACTGTGTTTTCTTAGGGACTGTCATCTCTGTCTTTGAAAACTGTTTTAACTCTGAAATATTTTGATAAATTTGACATGGCCAAGGATCCCTCAACAAAGATACTTTCAAGTTTTCTTTCTTTCTGTCTAATATCAGGAAGAGGTTCAACCCTTCCCTATCTCACACTCAGGACTTTGAAGGACACATATTAGTAAAACTCCATGTTTGTGAAGGGAATCAGTGAATGAGTCCTGGACTTTCACCCTATCCCTAAATCTTTCATTTTGATGGATGAATATCTAATTCGATCAGTTAATATTTAAGAAAGTCAGAAATCCAATCAGGATTAACTGGGTAGAGATTAAGAATTCTAATCAAATGTAGCTCTCTCTGTCTCTCTGTTCAATCTAGCCTATTTCCCAGGCTGGAGTGGAGTGGTATAATGTCAGCTCACTGCAACTTCTGCCTCCTGGGTTCAAGTGATCCTCCTACCTCAGCCTCCCTATTAGCTTGGACTACAGGCGGAGACCACTGCATCTCACTGAAATTTTCAATAATGAGGCTGGGGCGGAGGCTCACACCTATAATCCCACTATGTTGGGAGGCCAAGAGGGGTAGATTGCTTGAGACTAGGAGTTCAAGACCAGCTTGGACAACATAGCGAAATCCACTGTCTTTACAAAAAGTCAAAAAATAAAAGATGAGCTGGGTGTGGTGATGCATAACTGTGGTCCCAGCTACTTGAGAGGCTGAGGAGGAAGAATCCTTTGAGCTGGGAGGTCAAGGCTGCACTGAGCTGAGATCCCACCACTACACTCCAGGCTGGGTGACAGCAAGACCCTGTCAGAAAGAGAGTGAGAGAGGGAGAGAGAGAAAGAGAGAGAGAATGAGAGAAGGGAGGCAGGGAAAGAAGACAAGAAAGAAAGAAGGGAGAGAGAGGAGGAAAGAAAGAAAGAAGGGAGGGAGAGAGGGAAAGAAGGAAAAAAGAAAGAGAGAAAGAGAAAGCAAGCTTAAATAATGAAAAGAAAACAAATAGAACCTGTTCTAGGGATGCCCCATGAATGTTCCCAACAAGCTTATTTTTAGGAACTGAAATTGTGGGCATGTAGGCTTGTGACACTCCCATTCCCATTGTTTTAGAACCTTAAGTAATTAATAATTTCCCCCAATGGTAGGAGGGGTTCACTTTCAGGTTCCTCCACACTCACTAGTCACTGGATGGAGCACTGGATAGAAAGGAAGGGCTCGTGGTGGCCCTGCTTCCTCACTGCTTCGGAGACGCTCATGCTGATGCAGCAGAGGCAGAATGCTGGCTTAATGGCCACTGAGTACAGAGTAGAATTGGAGTAAACTGAGGGCTGTTTCACCATTGCCAGAGCAGTGACTTTGGCCCTGGGAGAAGATGAGATTGCATGGGCTTGGCCTGAGAGTGATGCCTTTTCTCTGGGTTTGTCCTCTGGAAGTTTTCCCTGCAGATTCATGAAGATGAGCATCCGGATTCCACCCAGACTCCTGGAGCTTGCGGGGCGGAGCCTGCTGAGGGACCAAGCCTTGGCCGTCTCCACCCTGGAGGAGCTGCCCACGGAACTTTTCCCCCCACTGTTCATGGAGGCCTTCAGCAGGAGACGCTGTGAGGCCCTGAAGCTGATGGTGCAGGCCTGGCCCTTCCGCCGCCTCCCTCTGAGGCCTCTGATAAAGATGCCTTGTCTGGAGGCCTTCCAAGCTGTGCTCGATGGGCTGGATGCACTGCTTACCCAAGGGGTTCGTCCCAGGTGAGGTGGCCCAGGTGGGCTGGTGGGGAGGGCCCAGGTGTCCAACTGAAGGAACAGCTGGGTCATGTGAAGTGAGGAGGCCCAAGGGGGATGGTGGTGGTGAGGAAGCCGAGAGGACTTGGCCATTCACCAGCTCCTCAGGGAAAGCACTGCTCACCAGGCAAGGTCCATAGAGGTAACAGGAACCTCTCCTCTAATGGCACTGAAAGGCACCATGAAAAGTGAGAACTGGGCCGGGCACGGTGGCTCACAATGTAATCCCAGCCCATTGGGAGGCTGAGGTCAAGAGTTGGAGGCCAGCCTGTCCAACATGGTAAACCCCAACTCTACTAAAAATACTAAAATTAGCTGGGCATGGTGGTGGGTTCCTGTAATCCCAGCTACTTGTGAGGTTGAGGCAGGAGAATCATTTGAACCCGGGAAGAAGAGGTTGCAGTGAGGTGACATCACACCACTGCACTCTAGCCTGGGCGACAGAAGGAGACTTGGTCTCAAAAAAAAAACAAAAAAATGTGGAAGTGGGTAGGATCCAAGGGGAAAACAGGGTGAAGAAAACTCAGAGAGAGGGACAACAAGCAGGGAGGGGAGGAGCTGCTATGCAGGATGTGGAGTTTAAGTTCAGAAATGAGTTCTTAAATTCTCAGTCTCACCTCTATTTTCCCACAGGAGATGGAAACTTCAAGTGCTGGATTTACAGGATGTCTGTGAGAACTTCTGGATGGTTTGGTCTGAAGCTATGGCCCATGGGTGCTTCCTCAATGCCAAGAGGAACAAAAAACCAGTGCAGGACTGTCCAAGGATGAGAGGACGGCAGCCCTTGACTGTGTTTGTAGAACTTTGGCTCAAGAACAGGACTCTGGATGAATACCTCACCTGCCTCCTTCTATGGGTCAAGCAGAGGAGAGATTTACTACACCTGTGCTGTAAGAAGCTGAAAATTTTGGGAATGCCCTTCCGCAATATCAGAAGCATCCTGAAAATGGTGAACCTAGACTGTATCCAGGAGGTGGAAGTGAATTGCAAGTGGATACTGCCCATCCTGACACAGTTTACCCCATACCTGGGCCACTTGAGGAATCTTCAGAAGCTCGTTCTCTCCCACATGGATGTCTCTCGCTACGTTTCCCCAGAGCAGAAGAAGGAGATTGTTACCCAGTTCACCACTCAGTTCCTCAAGCTGCGCTGCCTCCAAAAGCTTTATATGAACTCTGTTTCTTTCCTCGAAGGCCACCTGGACCAGCTGCTCAGGTGAGGGAGGGTGGTGAGCTTTCTCTGCAGACCACAGCAGAGCCTGTTACAGTGAACACTAGTGGGCATCTACTGTGAGCCAGCCTATGAGGATGTAACAGTGAAGGGGACACTAGAATGTCCATGCATTGTCCTGTTGGCGGCCCTGTCCTGAAATGGGTATCATGCAACCCTCCCAATAGAGTCAGAGGGATCAGTCAGGGGAGATGCTATAGAGAGGCTGCCATGCTAGGAAGCTAGCTACTGGGGGGTTCAGATCTAGTGAGGGTGCCTTTCTGAATTCTTCCTGAGGATGTGTGTCTAAGTTAAGATGATGAAAAATAGGCCAGGGGCGTTGGCTCATGCCTGTAATCCTAGCAGTTTGGGAGTCTGAGGCAAGAGGATAGCTTGAGCCTAGGAGTTTAAGAGCAGTCTGGGTAACATCCCAAGACCCCTGTCAGAAATGAATAAATAAAAGTAAAATCAAACAAGATAACTTTTTTTTCTGAGATGGATTTTCACTTTGATCATCCAGGGTAGAGTGCACTTGTGACATCTCAGCTCGCAGCAACTTCTGCCTCCCAGGTTCAAGCGATTCTCCTGCCTCAGCCTCCTGAGTACCTGGGATTACAGGCGTGGGCCACCACACCTGGCTAATTTTTATATTTTAAGTAGAGACAGGTTTTCACCATTTTGGCCAGGTTATTCTCCAACCCCTGATTTCAGGTGATCCACCCACCTTGGACTCCCAAAGTGCTGGGATTATAGGCGAGAGCTACCACGCCCAGCCAACAAGATAATTTTTAAGAAGATGATGTGAAGTAGGGAAGTGAAGTGGGCACTGAAGAGGGGAATGCTCAGCAAACCTGCACATGTCAGAAAATCAGCTTTGTGCCCCACAGTTTGGTGAACATGAATGATCCCATCTCTAATTCCCATTGTAAAAGTTTCTTTTGAGCTCCAGGTAAATTAATTACCTAGGAAATGTATGATTCTGAAACAGAGGGTCAGGGAGCAGGCACAAAGAATGATGAAAGTGATAGATGGTTTGCTGATGATACAGGTGTGTCAGGGACGCCTGCAGCCTGCCCACCCCAGCTGATGTTGCAGGATCCTGTCTGGGTTTGTCCTTTATGCCTGCATCTCCACTGGGCTTCTGTGGCCCAGGGATGTGGTTTTCTGCCTGACAGATGAGGAAAGGGAGCTTTAGGGATTCTGTGAACTTGATCCATTCCTATAAATGATGGTGAAATGACTCAGCCTGAAATGGAATTATTTTTTCTCCTTTTTTTTTTTTTAATAGAGTATCACTCTGTCACCCAGGCTGGAGTGTAGTGGCATGATCTCTGCTCACTGCAACCTACACCTCCTGGGTTCAAGCGATTCTTCTGCCTCAGCTTCCCAAGTAGCTGGAATTGCAGGCTCCCGCCACCACACCTGGCTAATTTTTGGATTTTTAGTAGAGACGAGGTTTTGCCATGTTCAGCAGGCTGGTCTCAAACTCCTGATCTCAAGGAATCCACCAGTCTCAGCCTCCCAAAGTGCTGGGATTACAGGTGTGAGTTACTGGGCCGGGCCTAAAGTGGAATTGACCTCGGTGGCAAAGCTCTTCATCACACATCATCCGAAGTGTTGACCATCCGGCCATGAGAATGATCCTGGACTTGGGCAAAATGGTCTCCATCCATTACCTTGAAGCCATTCCCCACCACCCTCCACTCACCCCTATGATTCCCCAGAATTAACTTCTTGCTCTCTCTCCCCAGCTGTCTGAAGACCTCGTTAAAGGTCCTCACAATAACTAACTGTGTGCTTTTGGAATCAGACTTGAAGCATCTATCCCAGTGCCCGAGTATCAGTCAACTAAAGACCCTGGACCTGAGTGGCATCAGACTGACCAATTACAGTCTTGTGCCTCTCCAAATTCTCCTAGAAAAAGTTGCAGCCACCCTTGAGTACCTGGATTTAGATGACTGTGGCATCATAGACTCCCAAGTCAACGCCATCCTGCCTGCCCTGAGCCGCTGCTTTGAGCTCAACACCTTCAGCTTCTGTGGAAATCCCATCTGCATGGCCACCCTGGAGAACCTGCTGAGCCACACAATCATACTCAAAAACTTATGCCTGGAGCTGTATCCTGCCCCGCAGGAAAGTTATGGTGCTGATGGTACTCTCTGCTGGAGCAGATTTGCTCAAATTAGGGCTGAGCTGATGAAGAAAGTGAGGCACTTAAGGCACCCCAAGAGGATCTTGTTCTGTACTGACAACTGCCCTGACCATGGCGACAGGTCATTTTATGACCTGGAGGCAGATCAATACTGCTGTTGAATGCCTGCCTATTTGGATGGGTATGTCAAACGCTTTCTTCTGGACACTTGGAAACTAAAACCTAGGTCTTAGGTACATCCTAAAGGGAGCACAGAACCCATCGTTTCACACATGGGCTCTGAAAGTGGGAAAGGAAAGCTGATCAAGCAGGGGCAGGACTTGGGGGAAATGTTGCCATGGATTCAATGGGACTTTGGGAACCTGTATCCTGTAGAGTCGAAAATGGGAATCTGAATGTCTAGAGTGGAATTCAGGCTTGAGAATACATGAGGGAGTTACTCTTGCATGGATGGTTGTAAAGAAACAATCAGAAATAAAGGAAAACTGAGCAGAATCTGTCTGGTGCCCTCTATTATTAAGTAACCTGTTTTCCAGTTTAAGCCTCAGGAATCTTCAGTTATTGATGGAAAAAACAAAAGGCACTGACTGAGTTGTCCAATCAATAAGATGCAGCCCAAGAAAATCAAGGCATTTAAATGAAATTTGGTTATTGTAACCAGTTTCCTCCCATTCTTTTATTTGAGACAGAGTTTCACTCTTGTCGCCCAGGCTGGAGTTTAGAGTGCAATGGTGCCATCTCAGCTGACTGCAACCTCCACCTGGGGTTTAAATGATTCTCCTGCCTCAGCCTCCCAAGTAGCTGGGATTACAAGCATGCACCACCATGCCCAGCTAATTTGTGTATGTTTAGTAGAGACAGGGTTTCCTCACTATGTTGGCCAGGCTGGTCTCAAACTCCTGACTTTGGGTGATTCACGCAAGTAGGCCTACCAAAGTGCTGGGGTTACAGGTGTGAGCCACTGTGTCAGGCTTTTGTTTTTGTTTTTGTTTTTGTTTTTTAAAGGTCTCCTGTCACTCAGGCTACAGTGCAGTGGCACAATCATACCTCATTGCAGCCTCAATTTCCTGGGTTCAAGCGATCTTCCCACCTCAGCCTCCTGAGTAGCTAGGACTACAGCTGTGTGAGCCACCACACCTGGATACTTTTTTTTAGTAGAAACAAGGCCTCGCTGTCTTCCCCAGGCTGATCTGGAACTCCTGAGCTTGTGATTCTCCTGCCTTGGCCTCCCAAAATGCAGGGAGTATAGGCGTGGACCACCACGCTTGGCTTGGCCTCCTCCAGTTCTTCACTTCTTTAGATGTCTGTTAACTCCTTGTTAGTTTCTGTGGCTGTTCAGTGGGTTAATACACACTAGGTGGACACCAAAGGCCTGGAACATTGCTGGGCAAGAACAGTGAGCCAATCCACACGGAAAGCACCTTCTTCTCAGCGTCTTTCACCGCTATCCAGATGCTGAGACCCTGCCCACTCCCTGTGAGTCTCCACATGCTTCCAGAAGCCTTAGTTGGTGGATGTCAGCTTCACTGCACAAGGAGCCAGTCTCTTCCCGCTGCCCTGGAAGGGGATGTCCATATTGTGTATTAGCTGGAGACTCTGGGCAGCACCAACCCTTGCTTGTTCCCCTGATGACCAGCAGCCCTTCTTGAATTAAACTTGTTGTAGCCAGTAAAGACAGCCACATTCCCTTTAAGTAAAATACTAAAACTATACAGGCATGTAACACTTTTTAAATATTTCCATCTGACATTTTAAAAGTTACATCTTTTTGGGGAGCTAGGTCAGATTGATGAGAGATTTTCTCATAACACCTTCCCTCTCTCCCTATGAAGGAAGTGACTAGTGCAGCATGTTCTGGAATCTGACATCATCAAAGGGTGGATAACGATCAAGTGCCTGTGGGTGATGAGTGACCTTCCCTGTGGTGAGGAAGCCTGCATAGTGGGCACCCAAGTGAAGGATCCTGCTGTGTACTCAGGGGCTGGTGTTGCTGTCAGGGATGTTAGCCTAGAGCCTCAGCTTCCTGTAAAATGAGGATGATGATATCCAACAGCTTATGGGACCTTGGTAGGATCCAATGAGATGGTTCATGTTTAGGGCTTGGCATGGGGTCTGGCATACAGTAAGATCAATACATCTTGTTCTTTTTTCTCTTCTCAGCAGAAGTCCCAGCATTTTTCATCTTTCAATCTCACCTCCTTTTCCTGATAATAGAGAGGCAACAAGAACTCAGGGCATGCAATGGGGCTCAACTTCTACTCTCTGCCACAATTTCATCATGATTCCCCCAAAGAGCAGAGCCCCAGGAGCCAGCAGGGGGCAGGGTGGGCATTTCTGGACTGGATTCATTCATAATAAGATCAAAATTTCCAATCCGTATGTCTCGGGTGCCATCTGCTGATAGATCGGACCAGATGGTATAATTGAGTGTTGCAAGGATTATATTTTATGGTGTTTTTAAAAATGTACTATTATGAGCCAGGTGCAGTGGCTCATGCCTGTAATTCCAGCACTTTGGGAGGCTGAGGCAGGTGGATCACCTGAGGTCGGGAGTTTGAGACCAGCCTGAGCAACATGAAGAAACCCCTTCTCTACTTAAAATACAAAAAATAGCCAGGCGTGGTGGCACACGTCTGTAATTGCAGCTACTCGATAGGCTGAGGCGGGAGAATCGTTTGAACCTGGGAGGTGGAGGTTGCGGTGAGCTCAGACTGAGCCATTGCACTCCAGCCTGGGCAACAGTAGCAAAACTCCATCTCAAAAAAAAGATAAAATAACATTTATTATTATGGCTGGGCATGGTGTCTCACACCTCTAATCCCAGCACTTTGGGAGGCCGAGGCAGCCTCGGGATGTTGAGACCAGCCTTGCTAACATGGTGAAACCCCGTCTCTACTAAAAATACACAAAATTTGCTGGGAGTGGTGGCATTCGCCTGTAATCCTAGGTATTCAGGAGGCTGAGGCAGGACAATCACTTGAACCCGGGAGGAGAAGATTGCAATGAGACGAGATCGCGCCACTGCTCTCTAGCCTGGGCGACAGAGCATGAAAAAAAAATTTACTATAGTGTGAATACTATTAGAGTATAACTATTTGTGTTGTAATTTATGTATATGAAAGATTAGAACTTTGAAAGAATGCAACGTGATATTTTAAGAATGGTTAATGGCCAGGTGTGGTGGTTCATGCCTGTATTCCTGGCACTTTGGGAGGCCGAGGTGGGTAGATCACGAGGTCAGGAGTTCCAGACCAGCCTGTCCAACATGATGAAACCCGGTCTCTACGAAAAATACAAAAAATTAGCCTGGCGTGGTGACAGGTGCCTGTAATCCCAGATAGTCAGGAGGCTGAGGCAAGAGAATCGCTTGAACCTGGGAGGCAAAGGTTGCAGTGAGCCGAGAATGCACCACTGCACTCCAGCCTGGGTGAAAGAGGAAGACTCCGTCCCAAGGAGGGTGAGAAAAAGAATACTTAACTTGGTTTGAAATGTCAAAACAAATGAGATTTTGAAAACTAATTTTAAAGACACTGAACAATAATCATTTCTTCTTTAAAATATATTTAGAACAATACAATTTTATCTTTGAAAGGAAACATTACAGTTTTTAAAAATCTTGAGTTTATTTCATTTTATTTTATTTTGAGACAAGGTCTCACTCTGTCGTCCAGATTGGAGTGCAGTGGCATGATCACGGCTCACTGCAGCCTTGACCTCCTAGGCTCAGGTGATCTCCCTGCCTCAGTCCCCCTGGTAGCTGGAACGACAGGCATGCACCATCATGCCTGGCTTATTTTTGCCAGGTTTCACCATGTTGCCCAGACTGGTCTTGAAATTCTGGGCTCAAGCGATCCACCTGCCTCGGCCTCCTAAATTGCTGGGAGTGAGCCCTTATAGGCATGAGCCACCGCACCCAGCCTTGAGTTTATTTATTTATTTATTTTGGAGATGGAGTCTCATTCTGTCATCCAGGCTGGAGTGCAGTGGTACGATCTCAGTTCACTGCAACCTCTGCCTCCAGGGTTCGAGCAATTCTCCTGTGTCAGCCTCCAGAGTAGCTGGGATTACAGGCATGCACCACCACACCTGGATAATTTTTGTATTATAATTATTATTATTTTTTAATAGAGACAGGGTTTGTCATTTTAGTCAGGCTGATCTCGAACCCCTGACCTCAGGTGATCCACCCACCTCAGCTTCCCAAAATGCTACGACTATAGACGTGAGCCACCACGCCCAGCCTATTTTTTTCTTTATAGCAGCTTTAGATTCACAGAAAAACTAAGCAGAAACTGCAGAGTTCTCATCTACCTTCTTCCCCCTTCAATACACAGCACCCCCACAGGATCAGCACCCACACCAGCACAGAGCATTCGTCACAATCAATGAGCCACAGGGACACATCATTATCACCCAATGTCCATAGTTCACATGGGGGATCATTGCTGGTTTTGTACATTCTATGGATTTTAACAAAGGGATAATGACACATATCCACCATTAGAGCATCATGGAGACTAGTTTTGTTCCCCTAAAAGTCCTCTGTCCTCTTCCCATTCATCCCATTGTACTCCCAACCCCTCACAACCACTGGGCTTTCTACTATCTCCATAGAAAAAGGCAAATGTCTAACAGGATGAGTCTTTTCACATTGCCTTCTTTCACTTGTACAATAACGTGCATTTAAGAATCTTTCATGTCTTTTTAAGGCTTCATAATAGTTCACTGACTGGATGGATCAGTTTGCTTATCCAGTCACTGACTGAAGGCCAACTTGCTAGCTTCCAGGTTTTAGTGATTATGAATAAGCTACTATAAACATCCAGCTGTGGGTTTACTCATTTCATTAAATATCCAGGAGCATGATTACGGAATTGTAGGGGTATGGTATGTTTTACAATGATTTCTTCTTTCTTGACAATCTCACTTGTTCGATATTGCTGCTAAAGGTCAGGAACTTTGTCTCAATCATCCTATGTTCCTACTGCTGAGCATGGAACGTGGCACTTGGTAGCAAATGCTGTTGACCACGTGATGCATGGAAACGTTTATCATGGGTATAGTCACTAAATTGCTACCTTGGCGACATCAACATTAGCTCACTACCAATAATATAAATAAATTGGATTATGGAAAAAATGGCCCTTGTGATACTGTGGATACTCCATGTGTATCATGAAAGTCCAGCAATTGACAAGGCACAGTGGCTCACATCTGTAATCCCAGCACTTTCAGAGACTAAGGTGGGTGGATCACTTCAGTCAGGAGTTTGAGACGACTCTGGCCAATATGATGAAACCCTTTCTCTATTAAAGACACAAAAATTAACTAGGGGGTTGAGCCAAGATGGCCGAATAGGAACAGCTCCAGTCTACAGCTCCCAGCATGAACAGTGCAGAAGACGGGTGATTTCTGCATTTCCAACTGAGGTACCAGGTTCAACTCAATGGAGAGTGTCAGAAAGTGGGTGCAGGACAGTGGGTGCAGTGCATCGAGCGTGAGCCAAAGCAGGGCAAGGCATTGCCTCTCCTGGGAAGGGCAAGGGGTCAGGGAATTCCCTTTCTTAGTCAAAGAAAGGGGTGACAGACGGCACCTGGAAATTCAGGTCACTCCCACCCTAATACTGCACTTTTCCAATGGTCTTAGCAAATGGCACACCAGGAGATTTTATCCCATGCCTGGCTCAGAGGGTCCTATGCCCATGGAGCCTCACTCATTGCTAGCAGAGCAGTCTGAGATCAAACTGCAAGGCGGCAGCAAGGCTGGGGGAGGGGCGCCTGCCATTGCCGAGGCTTGAGTACGTAGACAAAGCAGCCAGGTGGCTGGAACTGGGTGGAGCCCACTGCAGCTCAAGGAGGCCTGCCTGCCTCTGTAGACTCCACTTCTGGGGGCCGGGCATTGCCAAACAAAAGGCAGCAGAATCCTCTGCAGACTTAAATGTCCCTGTCTGTCTGACAGCTTTGAAGAGAGTAGTGGTTCTCCCAGCATGCAGCTGGAGATCTGAGAACGGACAGATTGCCTCCTCAAGTGGGTCCCTGACCCCTGAGTAGCCTAACTGGGAGGCACACCCCAGTAGAGGCAGACTGACACCTCACATGGCCAGGTACTCCTCTGAGACAAAATTTCCAGAGGAACGATCAGGCAGCAATATTTGCTGTTCACCAATATTCGCTGTTCTGCAGCCTCTTCTGCTGATACCCAGGCAAACAGGTTCTGGAGTGGACCTCCAGCAAACTCCAACAGACTTGCAGCTGAGGGTCCTGACTGTTAGAAGGAAAACTAACAAACAGAAAGGACATCCACACCAAAACCCCATCTGTACATCAGCATCATCAAAGACCAAAGGTAGATAAAACCACAAAGATGGGGAAAAAACAGAGCAGAAAAATGGGAAACTCTAAAAATCAGAGTGCCTCTCCTCCTCCAAAGGAATGCAGCTCCTCACCAGCAATGGAACAAAGCTGGATGGAGAAGGACTTTGATGAGTTGAGAGAAGAAGGCTTCAGATGATCAAACTACTCTGAGCTAAAGGAGGAAGTTCGAACCCATGGCAAAGAAGTCAAAAACATTGAAAAAAAAATTAGAAGAATGGCTAACTAAAATAACCAATGCAGAGAATTCCTTGAAGGACCTGATGGAGTTGAAAACCATGGCATGAGAACTACGTGACAAATGTACAAGCCTCAGTAGCTGATTCAATCAACTAGAAGAAAGGGTATTAGTGATGGAAGATCAAATGAATGAAATGAAGTGAGAAGAGAAGTTCAGAGAAAAAAGAATAAAAGGAAATGAACAAAGCCTCCAAGAAATATGGGACTATGTGAAAAGACCAAATCTATATCTGACTGGTGTACCTGAAAGTGATGGGGAGAATGGAACCAAGCTGGAAAACACTCTTCAGGATATTATCCAGCAGAACTTTCCCAATCTAGCAAGGCAGGCCAACATTCAAATTCAGGAAATACAGAGAATGCCACAAAGATACTCCTTGAGAAAAGCAACTCCAAGAAACATAATTGTCAGATTCACCAAAGTTGAAATGAAGGAAAAAATGTTAAGGGCAGCCAGGGAGAAAGGTCGGGTTACCCACAAAGGGAACCCCATCAGACTAACAGCGGATCTCTTGGCAGAAACTTTACAAGCCAGAAGAGAGTGGGGGCCAATATTCAACATTCTTAAAGAAAAGAATTTTCAACCCAGAATTTCATATCCAACCAAACTAAGCTTCATAAGTGAAGGAGAAATAAATTTCCTTACAGACAAGCAAATGCTGAGAGATTTTGTCACCACCAGGCCTGCCCCACAAGAGCTCCTGAAGGAAGTGCTAAACACGGAAAGGAACAACTGGTACAAGCCACTTCAAAAACATGCCAAATTGTAAAGACCATCAAGGCTAGGAAGAAACTGCATCAACTAACGAGCAAAATAACCAGCTAACATCATAATGACAGGATCAAATTCACACATAACAATATTACCCTAAAATGTAAATGGGCTAAATGCTCCAATTAAAAGACACAGACTGGCAAATTGGATAAAGAGTCAAGACCCATCAGTGTGCTGTATTCAGGAAACCCATCTCACGTGCAGAGACACACATAGGCTCAAAATAAAGGGATGGAGGAAGATCTACCAAGCAAATGGAAAACACAAAAAGGCAGGAGTTGCAATCCTAGTCTTGGATAAAACAGACTTTAAACCAACAAAGATCAAAAGAGACAAAGAAGGCCATTACATCATGGTAAAGGGATCCATTCAACAAGAAGAGCTAACTATCCTAAATATAGATGCACCCAATACAGGAGCACCCAGATTCATAAAGCAAGTCCTTAGAGACCTACAAAGAGACTTAGACTCCCACACAATAATAATGGGAGACTTCAACACCCCACTGTCAACTTTAGACACATCAATGAGACAGAAAGTTAACAAGGATATACAAGAATTGAACTCAGCTCTGCGCCAAGCGGACCTAATAGACATCTACAGAACTCACAATCCAAAATCAACAGAATATACATTCTTCTCAGCACCACACTGCACTTATTCCAAAAATTGACCACATAGTTGGAAGCAAAGCACTCCTCAGCAAATGTAAGAGAACAGAAATTATAACAAACTGTCTCTCAGGCCACAGTGCAATCAAACTAGAACTCAGGATTAAGAAACTCACTCAGTGTGTGATGTTCCCTTTCCTGTGTCCATGTGTTCTCATTGTTCAACTCCCACCTATGAGCGAGAACATGCAGTGTTTGGTTTTTTGTGCTTGTGATACTTTGCTGAGAATGATGGTTTCCAGCTTCATCCATGTCCCTACAAAGGACATGAACTCATCATTTTTTATGGCTGCATAGGATACCATTAGGAGGTATACCTAAGGCTAAATGACGAGTTAATGTGTGCAGCACACCAACATGGCACACGTATACATATGTAACAAACCTGCACGTTGTTCACATGTACCCTAAAACTTAAAGCATAATAATAATAATAAAAGAAACTCACTCAAAACCGCTCAACTACATGGAAATTGAACAACCTGCTCCTGAATGACTACTGGGTACATAACGAAATGAAGACAGAAATAAAGACATTCTTTGAAACCAATGAGAAAAAAGACACAACATACCAGAATATCTGGGACACATTCAAAGCAGTGTGTAGAGGGAAATTTATAGCACTAAATGCCCACAAGAGAAAGCAGAAAAGATCTAAAATTGACAACCTAACATCACAATTGAAAGAACTTCTCACTCATAGGTGGGAATTGAACAATGAGATCACATGGACACAGGAAGGGGAATATCACACTCTGGGGACTGTGGTGGGGTCGGGGGGAGGGGGGAGGGATAGCATTGGGAGATATACCTAATGCTAGATGACACATTAGTGGGTGCAGTGCACCAGCATGGCACATGTATACATATGTAACTAACCTGCACAATGTGCACATGTACCCTAAAACTTAGAGTATAATAAAAAAAAAAAAAAGAAAGGAAAAAAAAAAAAAAAAAAAAAAGAAAGAACTAGAGAAGCAAGAGCAAACATATTCAAAAGCTAGCAGAAAGCAAGAAATAGCTAAGATCAGAGCAGACCTGAAGGAAATAGAGACACAAAAAACCCTTCAAAAAATCAATGAATCCAGGAGTTGGTTTTTTGAAAAGATCAACAAAATTGATAGACTGCTAGCAAGACTAATAAAGAAGAAAAGAGAGAAGAAACAAATAGATGCAATAAAAAATGATAAAGGGCATATCATCACGGATCCCACAGAAAGACAAACTACCATCAGAGAATACTATAAACACCTCTATGCAAATAAACTAGAAAATCTAGAAGAAATGGATTAATTCCTCGACACATACACCCTCCCATGACTAAACCAGGAAGAAGTTGAATCCCTGAATAGATCCATAATAGGCTCTGAAATTGAGGCAATAATTAATAGCTTACCAACCAAAAAAAGTCCAGGACCAGATGGATTCACAGTCGAATTCTACCAGAGGTACAAGGAGGAGCTGTTACCATTCCTTCTGAAACTATTCCAATCAATAGAAAAAGAGGGAATCCTCCCTAACTCATTTTATGAGGCCAGCATCATCCTGATACCAAAGCCTGGCAGAGACACAACAAAAAAAGAGAATTTTAGACCAATATCCCTGATGAACATCGATGCAAATATCCTCAGTAAAATACTGGCAAAGTGAATCCAGCAGCACATCAACAAGCTTATCCACCATGATCAAGTGGGCTTCATCCCTGGGATGCAAGGCTGGTTCAGCATATGAAAATCAATAAACAGAATCCAGCATGTAAACAGGACCAACGACAAAAACCATATGATTATCTCAATAGATGCAGAAAAGGCATTCGACAAAATTCAAAAACCTTCATGCTAAAAACTCTCAGTAAATTAGGTATTGATGGGACATATCTCAAGATAATAAGAGCCATCTATGACAAACCCACAGCCAATATCATACTGAATGGACAAAAATGGGAAGCATTCCCTTTGAAAACTGGCACCAGACAGGGATGCCCTCTCTCACCACTCCTATTCAACAAAGTGTTGAAAGTTCTGGCCAGGGTAATCAGGCAGGAGAAGGAAATAAAGGATATTCAATTAGGAAAAGAAGAAGTCAAATTGTCCCTCTTTGCAGATGACATGATTGTATATCTAGAAAATCCCATCGTCTCAGCCCAAAATCTCCTGATAGGCAACTTCAGCAAAGTCTCAGGATACAAAATCAATGTGCAAAGTCACAAGCATTCTTATACACCAATAACAGACAAACAGAGAGCAAAATCATGAGTGAACTCCCATTCACAATAGCTTCAAAGAGAATAAAATACCTAGGAATCCAACTTACAAGGGATGTGAAGGACCTCTTCAAGGAGAACTACAAACCACTGCTCAATGAAATAAAAGAGGATACAAACAAATGGAAGAACATTCCATGCTCATGGGTAGGAAGAATCAATATTGTGAAAATGGCCATACTGCCCAAGGAAATTTAAAGATTCAATGCCATCCCCATCAAGCTACCAATGACTTTCCTCACAGAATTGGAAAAAACTACTTTAAAGTTCATATGGAACCAAAAAAGAGCCCATATAGCCAAGTCAATCCTAAGCCAAAAGAATAAAGCTGGAGGCATCACGCTACCTGACTTCAAACTATACTACAAGGCTACAGTAACCAAAACAGCATGGTACTGGTACCAAAACAGAGATATAGACCAATGGAACAGAACAGAGCCCTCAGAAATAATGCCACATATCTACAACCATCTGATCTTTGACAAACCTGACAAAAATAAGAAATGGGGAAACGATTCCCTATTTAATAAATGGTGCTGGGAAAACTGGCTAGCCATATGTAGAAAGCTGAAACTGGATCCCTTCCTTACACCTTATACAAAAATTAATTCAAGATGGATTCAAGACTTAAACATTAGACCTAAAAACATAAAAACCCTAGAAGAAATCCTAGGCAATACCATTCAGGACATAGGCATGGGCAAGGACTTTAAGTCTAAAACACCAAAAGCCATGGCAATAAAAGCCAAAATTGACAAATGGGATCTAATTAAACTAAAGAGCTTCTGCACAGAAAAAGAAACTACCATCAGAGTGAACAGGCAACCTACAGAATGGGAGAAAATTTTTGCAATCTACTCATCTGAAAAAGGGCTAATATCAAGAATCTATAATGAACTCCAACAAATTTACAAAAAAGAAACAAACAACCCCATCCAAAAGCGGGTGAAGGATATGAACAGACACTTCTCAAAAGAAGACATTTATGCAGCCAAAAGAGACATGAAAAAATGCTCATCATCACATGAAAAAATGCTCATCATCACCGGCCATCAGAGAAATTCAAATCAAAACCACAATGAGATACCATCTCATACCAATTAGAATGGTGATCATTAAAAAGTCAGGAAACAAGGGGTGCTGGAGAGGATGTGGAGAAATAGGAACAGTTTTACACAGTTGGTGGGACTGTAAACTAGTTCAACCATTGTGGAAGTAAGTGTGGCAATTCGTCAGGGATCTAGAACTAGAAATACCATTTGACCCAGCCATCCCATTACTGGGTATATACCCAAAGGATTATAAATCATGCTGCTATAAAGACACATGCACAAGTATGTTTATTGCGGCACTATTCACAATAGCAAAGACTTAGAACCAACCCAAATGTCCAACAATGATAGACTGGATTAAGAAAATGTGGCACATATACAACATGGAATACTATGCAACCATAAAAAAGATGAGTTCATGTCCTTTGTAGGGACATGGATGAAGCTGAAAACCATCATTCTCAGCAAACTATCGCAAGGACATAAAACCGAACACTGCATGTTCTCACTCATAGGTGGGAATTGAACAATGAGAACACAGGGACACAGGAAGGGGAACATCACACAGAGGGGCCTGTTGTGGGGTGGGGGGAGGGGGGAGGGATATCATTTGGAGATATACCTAATGTTAAATGGCGAGTTACTGGGTGCAGCACACCAACATGGCACATGTATTCATATGTAAGTAACCTGCACATTGTACACATGTACCCTAAAACTTAAAGTATAATAAAAAAAATTAACCAGGCATGGTGGCATGTACCTGTAGTCCCAGCTACTGGAGAGGCTGAGGGAGGAGAATTGCTTGAACCCAGGATGTGGAGGTTGCAGTGATTGAAGATCGTGCCACTGCACTCCAGCCTGGGCAACAGAGCTAGATGCCATATCAGAAAAAAAAAAAAGAGAAAAGAAAACAAAACAAAAGAAAGTCCAGCATGGTAAGAGGTACATAGAGGTACATGGGGGTGAGCTTCATTTGATTTTCATCCTTTTTCCCTTCTCTGGACAGAATTCTCAATGCAAAACATTCCAAAAACACAGAGCAAATGTCTTCTATAATCTTCCCCTTATCTGTGACTTCCCTTCACAGTGTATGTGCTAGCGTCTTCCAGACTTTTTTGTATGACGTGCTATACAGAAGATCAGATCAAATGGGCACATTCCCAATCCTAATAAGTGGTGACTTGCCAGATCTGGACTCACGTTGCAGGGTGCTGGGACCTCTGCCAGAATCAAGCAGTAGCTCCAGGAGCCAGGGCTTTGGGTCTCTTCTGTGCATCTTCAGGAGCTTTTATTGACCTTTCTCACCACGACCCCCTTCTCAATTACCAACTTCCAATCCAAAAATGACATCCAACTAGATCCTGAACTTCCATCCAGTTAACCCTGATTGAGTTTTCAACTTTCTTCTTATTAAGTGATTAAATTAGATATAGATTCATAAAAGTGAAAGAATTAATAATAGGGTGAAGGTCTAAAACTCATTTATTCACTTATTCCATAAACACTGGTAAAGTTTGACTAATATGTGACTTTCATAGTGATACAGGGAAGGATTTAAGCTGTTTCTGACATTAGAAAAAAAAATATATATATATGTGGTATCTTTATTAGAGAACCTTTGGCCACATCAAAAGCATCAAAATGTTTTAGAGTTAAAACAACTTTAAGAAGACAGTGATGTCATCCCTGAAAAACACAATAAAAATCTTGGTGTATCCACTTGTCACCTGGGTTTTGTGCTACCTAACATGGTAGATCATATGCCCATTCAGGTGGAAAACAGGAACTACTGAGGGTGTAATTTATCTCAAGGTTAAGGTCAAGGATTCACTGAAAGAAATCAGGCCTAAATTACAAAGTGATGTGGGGGCTGGGCTGGACAGGACTGAGTGTTTTCATGGGACCCTGGGAGGGAAGCTAGACAACATAAAACATGGCAGGTATTTTGTGGGCATTTAGACAAAAGGATTGAAAGACTTCCTTCTAGATTGAGTTTAAAAATTTTAAAAAAACATAATTACAAAAGAGATAATGCAGATCCTTAAAGCATCACAGTGTCTTTGAGGGCAGAGAGAGCAGACACAGTCTTGGCTCCTACTTGAAGGTGAGGCATCATTACTCACAAACGTGTTGGGCTTCCCTCAGAATACCAGCTTGGGAAGAGTGAATCTGAGTGTGTGAGCTGGGGCAGAGCCCAGAGAGGAGCAGTGTGGTCAGACATAAAGAGGGAGACTTTTCGATCTGGAAGCATGAATGGTGGAAGCTGTGTATCTGCAGAATTTGTGAGAGAAATGAACCCCTTGGGGAAATCCTGCACCATCCTCAGGACCCCAGCGAGAATCCTGCAGTTTGGGGGGTCTTTCTACCATGTTCTGGTTGCCTGTGCTTCTGAAGGTGCTCCTCTGCTGTCCAGGTCAGTGCAGCCTTTTGAGTCCATCTGAAGGGATGGCTTAACCTCAGTTCCACTCACTGAATTTCTACTGGGATTCCAAAGCTTCTCCAGGCTTTTCATCGGGGTTCTAAAGTATTTCTGAACTTGAATTTTCCTCCCCCAGCCTGAGCTGTCAGAGAAGCTGAGTCCTCTGCTTCCTGGAAATGTCAGCCAATCTCTCCTGCACCCAGGAGTATGGCCACAAACAATGCTAAGAAACACTCTCCCTGGAATCAGCAGTGACTCATACATTCTCCCCAAATTCTACTGAGCTATTTCAGTGCCCACAGCAAGGCATAAAGCAGGGAGCTCCTCAGCTGCTGCTCTGGACCTAAAGAGGCAACCGGGACCAATGGAGGGGAACCTTGTCTACCTTGCACAGGAAGAGCCGACTCCTCTGGTTCTCCTAGAAGTGCCAGGCTGTTGGCAGAGCCTGGGATGGTCCCAGTGTGGGGGCCATCCCTTCCCAGGCTCTGCTGGCCCAGCCTTAGAGCTGAGGAGGCTGCACCTGGAATGCAGTGAGTCTGTTTCTGAGTCAGCGCTTTTCCTGTGGTGTTTGCCCTCTGTGCATTTCTAACAGTCAAAAATCTCTGGTCAGGCCCTGCTGGCCTCCTCTAGTCCTCAAGGGGGTTTTATTCCAGATTGCATTTATAACTATCTTCCCCAAGACCAGGGGCTTCCCCTCTTTTTTCCTCCAATAAAGATATGAGGAGAAGGTCACTCTGAGAGCAGACAGTGGATGTTGAGGGAGGTGCCTGTAGCAGCCTGGGGTCCAGGAGATCTGCGAACTCACTGCCGCCGGATGGAGCCAGGGGGACTCCAGAAAGGGAGTGGCCCAGAGGAGCTGATGGGGGCCAGAGTAAATGAGGAGGAGAGAGATGGCAGCAGCCCTGGGGACCGGGTTCTCTGGCTTTCACAGAGCCACATCCCTGATAAACTGGGGACTTGGATCTGAGACTCTGAAAGGACTGGGGCCTGGATGTGGGGCTGTGAGTTTCCAAGGCCCTTTGATTTCACCCTGGTCTGCATGAGGTTCCATTGGCTGCCCCACCCAATCCCAGGGGCAGAAAGTCAGTCTAGCAGGGAAACCTGGGGAGAGAGGGTCAGTGGCAAGCATCCACCCTAGATGCAAAGACAAGGGACAGGTCAGAGGGAGGAAGCCTTGGCATGAGTCCAGGGGAAGGGAGGCACTTTGGATAGGCGCAGTTCTGTTTCTGCACTTGCCACAGCCTCAGAGGACTGTGAGGATTGAACTTTGCAGGAGGGAATGAGGGAGAATGGGGTCTGGACTGGAGTCCCTGTCATCCAAGTGACCCCCTATCTACTCCTGCAAACCAGATGAAGGTCTTGCTAGATGTAAGTCAAACCAGGGCCTATCAGGCTAACCAGCACTTTCTGGTGGATCCTGAAGGAGCACAGTGATCCTCGGTCAAAAAAATCTCACATTGTCCAGGGCTGAGGATTGTCAGGTGGTGCTGAAGGGGGAGACTCTGGGGAAAAAACAGAGAAGATTTTGGTACATTTCACACTCTCAACGCCCAGTGCTTCCCCCTTCCTATTAGTCAGGCGTGGTTCCAGGATAATCACTTGAACCCGGGAAGCCGAGGTTGCGGCGAGTTGAGCTAGAGCCATTGCACCCCAGGCTGGGTGGGCAACAGGAGCGAAACTCTACCTCAAGAAACAACAACAACAAGAACAACAACAAGAAAACTTCCACTGAGTGCCTGGGTCGTGCCACCTGGTATTCTGGGTGCTGCTGAGAAAGATGCTGAGAAAGATCCTGGTATTCTGGGTGCTGCTGAAACAAGACACAAGGCAGCTGGAAAATGAGCTCAGCAGAATATACCTGGCTCAGAACTGCAGTGCAGATCAGAAAAAGAATGCCTGTGCAGGATAAAACACGAACAGCCATCTTTTCTTTTCTTTTTCTTTTTTTTTTTTTTTGTTTCTTCTTTTTAAAGACAGGGCCTCACTCTGTTTCTAAGACTGGTGTGCAGTGGTGCAATCTCAGCTCACTGCAGGCTCAGCCTCTCAGGCTGAAGCAATCCTCCCATGTCAGCCTCCCAATTTGCTGGAAACGCAGGTGTGTGCCACCATGCCTGGCTCATTTTGTTTATCTTTTGTAGAGACGAGGTCTCACTGTTGCCCAGGCTGGTCTTGAATGCCTGTACTCAAGTCATCCTCCCAATTTGAGCTCCCAAAGTGCTGAGATTACAGGGGGGAGCCCCATGTCCTGCAAAGCCATCTTCATAATCCATGTGGAAAATGATGGTTATCCCAAATCCTTTCATCACTCTTTGTCAGAACATTCACTACTCTCACTGCCAATTAGAAATGTACAGGAGAATGAAAGAAAAAAGTTAATATTGTCCAGGTGCGGTGGCTCAGCCCATAATCCCAGCACTTGGGAGGCCAAGGAGGGCAGATCACCTGGTGTCAGCAATTCATACCAGCCTAGCCAACATAGTGAAACCCCATCTCCACAAAAGTAGAAAAATTAGGTTGGCATGATGGCAGGTGGCTGTAATCCCAGCTACTCAGGAGGCTGAGGCAGAAGAATCTCTTGAACCAGGGAGCCAGAGGTAGCAGTGAGCCGAGATTTTGCCTTTGCACTCCAGCCTGGGTGACACAGTCAGACTCCATCTTAAAACAAAACAAAAAGAAGTTAATATTTATTAAGTGCACCGTAATTCAAAATACTAAGAATTCAAGTGCTTTATTTCCTTGGAAAAACTCACCAAGAGGCGTTAAAACGGTGATGGCCTTCCCCACAGCACAGCACAGAGGAAGCAGCTGACATCTTCCAGGCCTTGGGGCACTGTCTTGCTTCTTTCTAAGTGGGGATCCGCTCCCAACACACTCTCCTTTGTGCCCCTCAGGCCATGAATATCTCTGAGGTCTGTGAGTGTGAGGTCTCTTGCTGGTGGTGTTCCTTCCTGTTTCTTGGGACTTTCTTTTTTGGTGGGTCTCTTGGCATAAGGAATGCGAGCCTGGTGAGAACAGGCTGGACTCTGCATCAGGACACAGAGGCCCTGGAGGGGCAGACAGTGGAGCAAGCAGGGGCTGAATTTACCTGCTTTTTACTCAAAGGAAGCCCCTCACCACTGTCTTCCCTGCCACAGCGGCTCCAATAAAAAGAAAAAAGGTGTTAACTCAGCACATTCCCTGGAACAGCAAGAAGAAAACATCCCTCTTGGTATTCGTATAAGTATTAGGACTAGTGTTAGCTGGTTTCTCTCTCCTTTTGACATAATAACTCAAGATACCCTGGGGATCTCGAGTGCATGGACCAGCGAGTCTGAAGGAGTTTGTTCTTTGGATATGAACCCATGAGAAGTGGATGTGTATTCTGTGGCCAAAGTCACTGACCTCTTTTATTAGAGGAGACAGAAGTGCCCAGGAACCACCCCCAGACCTGTGCTTCCAGGGACCGCTCTCTCTCTTTCCATGTGCATGCCTGAGACGGTTCTGGGTCTTCACTCATCACCATTTGCTCTTCTAGAGTTGATGCATCTACTGTATACTTGCAGGGGACCCAGTGAAGAAAGAAATCCAAGAACCCACGTGGGTCCACATAGAGTGAGGTTGCCTCCAGACAGGCACAGGAACCCCGAGCCTCTTAGCCACTGCCAGAGCCTGAGACTGGGGCACTCACATGCAGACAAATGCATGGGACTTTAGAAGAAGCAGGGTTGGAGGTAAGAGAGGAGGGCATGGATGGAACGCAGGGGTCACTGGAAGCTTCAGGGCCAGAAGCACTTGGGAGTGGGGAAGGCATCATCAACAGAAAGGTCAGAGCTCCTTCCATGCCCTGAGGTCACAGCGGGTGTCCTTCTCTCCCAGCTCCTCCCTGGGCTCTTGTGTCTGGAGTCAGGGCTGGCTCAGCTGGGGTTCTTTGGTGAGTGGGAAGGACATAGGGCACTCAGGGTCTCAAGTGCAACTTTTAAAATGATACTCAAATGAGAGGTTTCACACAGTGGCCTCCTGTCCACAGATCCCATGTCTTCTTGCTGGACTCCTGGGGGATTTGCCCAGCCAGGGACATGAGGTATTTTACATTTATCTGCCAAGTGCAAAACATCTTAATCTATATGAGGCCAGCTCCATCCTGGAGGGTTGTGACTTTCTAAGTGCTCACACCACATACACATATATGTACATACCATGAAGTCATTGCAGAGATGCCCTCTGGGCCTGGGGTTCTCTCACAGAACCCAGTTGATAAAAGCCTCCCTTCTACTCACCTGAGACCTAGAGACATCAGCCACCCCCTGCCCCATTCGCCCAGCATTTTTCCTAAAGTGGAAACCAACTCAGAACGCACATAAATGAACACAGCCTCTAACTCATGGACTTAGGGGGAACAGACAGAATGAGAAGACCAGGGTTGAAAGTGGCATGTCGTGAAGTGGCACAGGCAGATGAGGCTGGAGAGGTGCAGTCAGAGGCAGGGGTGGCACAGGAGTCATTGGCAGTTTTGGACTGGGGTGGTGAGGCCACCTGAGGCCTGTTTTCCAGTTCCCCATTATGGCCAGGAGGACTTTGATCCCTGAGAGAGGTAACCAGGAGGCAGGGGCAACAATAAGGTGGCCACTGCAATGCCCAGGCAGGAGGTCTTGGCATCACCTGGTGTGGCTGCAGACAGCCTGGGGACATCCTGGAGGTAGAGTCAATGTGACTTGCTCTTATGGTTTCAGGAGTGGGTGTGAGGCCTGAGGAAAAGCGATGGGTTGACAGCACCTCCTAGAGTTTGGTCTTGACTCAGCGAAGTTGGGAAGAGTAAGTGAAAAGCCAGCATGAAGACAACGACTCAAGGTCTTTGTAGGACATTTTAAATTCAAGGCATTTATGTTATTAAGAGAAAAAAACCCAAGAACAATATAACACTCATGAAATAACCCTGTTCAATAAAATTGTAAAGGTGTATACAATTTATTCATTCTTAGGACTCACACGATAGATGTTCCCAGATGCTTCCCATGGACTATATATCCTACTGGTGTAGGTGGGAGTAAGGTGAGAGCCAGGATTCCAATCCCAGCAGTTTTCAAATCCCAGACCTTCAACTAAGGTCAACATCAGATCTGGAAGAGGAAAGAGGTGCAGTTTCTTTTCTAATTCCATCAGGATCATTCTGGGTCTGGCCACAGGGCACACTGCACTGTTCTCCTATCTCAGAGGAGAGGGTAGGATCCCAAAAGCCAAATGTGTCCAGATATGTGTTGGCATAATGTTTTAAAAAATAGAGTTTCAGTTAGAAAGGAGGAGTGAGTTGAATATCTATAGCATAGTAAGGTGACTATAGTTAGTAATAATATATTATATAATTGAAAATACTGAGACAGTAAATTTTAAATGTCTCCCCATAAAAAGAGTAAGAATGTGAAGTGGTAGGAATGCCAAATAGCTTGATTTCACTATTCCACATTGTAGAGTATGAATATATCAAAACATCATACTGTACCCCATGAACAGATACAATTTTTATTAATAAAATTTTTATAAAATAGACGAAAAAAACCTTATGGGCATCACATAGGAATACCAGTGATTGGTCTCAGGAAGACGGAAAACTGCAAAGATAAAATAAGAACTCAGCAAAGGAACACAAGGTAAAACAAAACTCAATATAAGAGCCAGAAAATGGCAAAAGTCCCGGTCAGAGTGACTTGTCCAAGATTCTTCCAAAGAAACCCAAAGAAGGAAGAAAGGGGTGGTAATTTCAAGTCTCTGAAATCCTCTGCTTTCCTGGAATATCTAATGACTATTCTACCTTCTAATTAAAGAAACACCCCTGTCAATATTAGACAGATCAATGAGACAGAAAATTAACAACGATATTCAGGACTTGAACGCAGCTCTGGACCAAACAGACCTAACAGACATCTACAAAACTCTCCACCCCAAATCAACAGAATATACATTTTTCTCAGCACCATATCACACTTATTCTAAAATTGACCACATAATTGGAAGTAAAACACTCCTCAGCAAATGTGAAAGAATGGAAATCATAACAAACAGTATCTCAGACCAAAGTGCAATCAAATTAGTACTCAGGATTAAGAAACTTACTCAAAACTGCACAACTACATGAAAACTGAACAAGCTGATTCTGAATGACAACTGGGCAAATAACAAATTTAAGGCAGAAATAAATAAGTTCTTTGAAAACAATGAGAACAAAGACACAATGTACCAGAATCTCTGGGACACAGCTAAAGCTGTGTTTAGAGGGAAATTTATAGCACTAAATGCCCATAGGAGAAAGGAGGAAAGACCTAAAATTGACATTGCAATTAAAAGAACTAGAGAAGCAAGAGCAAACAAATTCAGAAGCTATCAGAAGACAAGAAATAACTAAGATCAGAGCACAACTGAAAGAGATAGAGACATGAAAAACCCTTCAAAAAATCAATGAATCCAGGAGCTGGTTTTTAGGAAAAGATCAACAAAATAGACCACTAGCCAGATAAATTAAGAAGAAAAGAGAGAAGAATCAAACAGACACAATAAAAAATGGTAAAGGGGATATCACCACTGATCCCAGAGAAATACAAACTACCATCTGAGAATCTATAAACACCTCTATGCAAATAAGTTAGAAAATCTAGAAGAAATGTGTAAATTCCTGGACACATAGATGCTCCCAAGACTAAACCAGGAAGAAGCCAAATGCCTAAAGAGACCAATAACAAATTCTGAAATTGAGGCAATAATTAATAGCCTACCAACAAAACAAAGTCCAGGACCAGAAGAATTCACAGTCAAATTCTACCATTCCTCTGAAACTATTCCAAACAATAGAAAAAGAGGGTCTCCTCCCTAACTCATTTTTATGAGGCCAGCATCATCCTGATACCAAAACCTGGCAGAGACACAACAAAAAAAAGGAAATTTCAGGCCAATATTCCTGATGAACATCGATGCAAAAATCCTCAATAAAATACTGGCAAACCGAATCCAGCAGCACATCAAAAAGCTTATCCACCAAGATCAAGTTGGCTTCATCCCTGGCATGCAAGGCTGGTTCCACTTATGCAAATCAATAAACGTAATCCATCACATAAACAGAACCAATGACAAAAACCACATGATTATTTCAATATGTGCAGAAAAGGCCTTTGATAAAATTCAACACCCTTTCAGGCTAAAAACTCTAGATAAACTAGGTGTTGATGGAATGTATGTAAAAATAATAAGAGCCATTTATGACAAAGCCACAGCCAATATCATACTGAATGGGCAAAAGCTACAAGCATTCCCTTGGAAAACCGGCACACTGCATGGATGCCCTCTCTCACCACTCCTATTCAACATAGTATTGGAAGTTCTGGCCAGGGCAATCAGGCAAGAGAAAGAAATAGAGTATTCAAATAGGAAGAGAGGAAGTCAAATTGTCTCTGTTTGCAGATGACATGATTGTATATTTAGAAAACCCCATCGTCTCAGCCCAAAATCTCCTAAAGCTGATAAGCAACTTCAACAAAGTCTCAGGATACAAAATCAATGTGCAAAAATCACGAGCATTCCTATACATCAACAATAGACAAACAGAGAACCAATCATGAGTGAACTCCCATTCACAATTGCTAAAATAAAATAAAATACATAGGAATACAACTTACAAGGGATGTGAAGAAGAACTACAAACCACTGCTCAATGAAATAAAAGAGGATACAAACAAATGGAAAAACATTCCATGCTCATGGGTAGGAAGAATCAATATTGTGAAAATGGCCATAATGCCCAAAGTAATTTATAGATTCAATGCTATCCCCATCAAGGTATCATTGAGTTTCTTCACAGAATTAGAAAAACTACTTAAAACTTCATATGGAAGCAAAAAAGAACCTGTATACACAACACAATCCTAAGCAAAAAGAACAAAGCTGGAGGCATCATGCTACCTGACTTCAAACTATACGACAAGGCTACAGTAACCAAAACAACATGGTACAGTTATCAAAACAGATATGTAGACCAATGGAACAGAACAGAGGCCTCAGAAATAATGCCACACATCTACAACCATCTGATCCTTGACAAACCTGACAAAAACAACCAATGGGGAAAGGATTCCCTATTTAATAAATGGTGTTGGGAAAACTGGCTAGCCATATGCAGAAAACTGAAACTGAACCCCTTCCTTTCACCTTATACAAAAATTAACTCAAGATGGATTAAAGATTTAAATGTAAGACCTAAAACCATAAAAACCATAGAAGAAAACGTAGGCAATACCATTCAGGACATAGGCATGAGCAAAGACTTCATGGCTAAAACACCAAAAGCAATGGCAACAAAAGCCAAAATTGACAAATGGGATCTAATTAAAATAAAGAGCTTTTGCACAGCAAAAGAAACTGTCATCAGAGTCAACAGGCAACCTATAGAATGGGAGAAAAATTTTGCAATATATCCATCAGAGAAATGACTAATATCCAGAACCTACAAGGAACTTAAACAAATTTACAAGAAAAAAACAAACAACCCTGCCAAAAAGTGGGTGAAGGATACTAACAGGCAATTCTCAAAAATAAAACGTTTATCCGGCCAACAGACATATGAAAAAATGCTCATCATAACTGGTCATTTGATTTGCACTTCTCTAATGCAAATCAAAACAACAGTGAGATACCATCTCAGGCCAGTTAGAATGGTGATCATTAAAAAGTCAGGAAACAACAGATGCTGGAAAGGATGTGGAGAAATAGGAATGCTTTGACACTGTTGGTGGGAGTGTAAATTAGTTCAACCATTGTGGAAGACAGTGTGGCAATTCCTCAAGGATCTAGAACCAGAAATACCATTTGATCCAGCAATCCCTTTACTGGGTATATATCCAAAGGATTATAAATCCTTCTACTATAAAGACACATGCACAAGTATGTTTACTGCAGCACTATTCACAACAGCAAAGACTTGGAACCAACCCAAATGCCCATCAATGATAGACTGGATAAAGCAAATGTGGCACATATACATCATGGAATACTATGCAACCATAAAAAATAAGTTCATTTCCTTTGCAGGGACATGGATGAAGCTAGAAACCATCATTCTCAGCAAACTAACACGGGAACAGTAAACCAAAACACCTCATGTTCTCACTCATAAGTGGGAGTTGAACAATGAGAACTCATGGACACAGATAGGGGAACATCACACATCAGGGCCTCTCAGGGTGTGGAGCACTAGGAGAGGGGTAGCATTAGGAGAAATACCTAATGTAGATGACGGGTTGATGGGTGCAGCAAACCACCATGGCATGTGTATACGTATGTAACAAAACTGCACATTCTGCACATGTATCCCAGAACTTAAAGTGGAAAGAAGAAAGACAGAAAGAAAGAAAGAAAGAGAGAGAGAGAGAGAGAGAGAAAGAAAGAAAGGAAGGAAGGAAGGAAGGAAGGAAGGAAGGAAGGAAGGAAGGAAGGAAGGAAGGAAGGAAGGGAGGGAAAGAAAGAAAGAAAGAAAGAAAGAAAGAAAGAAAGAAAGAAAGAAAGAAAGAAAGAAAGAAAGAAAGAAAGAAAGAAAGAAAGAAAGAAAGAAAGAAAGACAGACAGGACAGGGGAGGGGAGGGGAGGGGAGGGGAAGCAAAGGGAAGGGAAGGGAAGGGAAAAGAAAAGAAATACCCATAAAATAGGAAAGCTGGCTGGTCACAGGAGAAGCATGAAAATATCAAGCAGTGATTTCATACAGCAGCAAGAGAAGAGCTTGTAAAATTAGCTACAAGAATAAGGATAAGCCTTGACCAATAAGACCCAAACAAGCAGGACGGGGCTAAGCTGGCTGACACTGAATTGGTCAGACATGGCACTGGGTTTGACCCTTGCCCTACCCCAGGCCTAATTATACACCCATTATGACAGTAAATCACACACCAGCGCCAGGACGGTTCTGAGAATGCCCATATTTAGTACAAAAACAGGTGAAACCTAGCCAGGCCCAGTGGCTCATACCTGTAATCCCAACACTTTGGGAGCCCAAGGTGGGTGGATCACCTGAGGTCGGGAGTTTGAGACCATCCTGACCAACATGGAGAAATCTCGTCTCTACTAAAAATACAAAATTAGCCGAGTGTGGTGGCAGATGTCTGTAATCCCAGCTACTCCAGAGGCTGAGGCAGGAGAATTGGTTGAACCCAGCAGGCAGAGGTTGCAGTAAGCCAAGATCATTGCACTCCAGCCTGGGCAACAAGAGCGAAACTCCATCTCAAAACATAAATAAATAAATAAATAAATACATAAATAAATAATAGGTGACACTTCAGTTCTAAGAAAACTTCACCATTTTTTCTTAAAATCCTAACGATTATTTCAACCTCTCCTTAGAGATCCTATAAAATTAGAAACCCAAACTCCCTTGTACACAACTCACTCTCCTGAATTGGCCCTCTCTTGAGTATCTACCTTTGCTTTGCAATAGACACTTCTTGCCTTTTGCTTCATTCTGCCTACTTCCTAAACTCTTTCTTGCAGCGATGACAAGAATGTGGACACTGGTTGGTGATTGAGTCTCTGGGTACCTGGAGATGACCTAATCACTATGGCAATAGTCAGAGTCTAAAAATCACACCGGATATTACAATTCACTCTGGTTTTTCTTGGGGGAAAAATCCAGTAACTTTGGCCCCATTTCTCCAAAGGACATCACTCAGCACAAACTGATAAACAGCAGTCCTACCACTGGGTTGTAAGTATATGGCTTTATTTCTGGATTCTCTATTCTGTTCCATTGGTCTATGTCTTGACCTTCATACTGGCACCATGCAGTTTTGCTTACTATTGCCTTACCATATAAATTGAAGTCAGGTAATGTGATGCCTCCACATTTGTTCATTTTGCTTAGGATTGCTTTGGCTCTTTAGCCTCTTTTTTGGCTCCAAATGAATTTTAGGATTCTTTTTGTAATCCTGTGGAAATGATGTTTGTATTTTGGTGTATGCAATTTTTAGATTGATGTTTGATGTTCGCAATTTTTAGATTGCTTTGGGCAGTGTGGTCATTTTCACGATATTGTGTCTGTCAATCCATCAGCATGGGACGTTTTTCTCCTTTTTTGTCATCTATGATTTTTTTCAGCAGTGTCTTGTAGTTCTCCTTGTAGAGATCCTGTACCTAATGGTTAAGTGTATTCCTAGGTTGTTTTTGTTATTGTCAGTTTTTGTTGTTGTTTTGCAACTATTGTAAAGGGATGGAGTTCTTCATTTGATTCTCAGCTTGCTTGTTGTTGGTATAAAAGGGTGTTACTGATTTGTACATACAGATTTTGGACCTGAGACTTAAGTGAATTCATTTATCTCATCTACGAGTCTTTTGGTGGAATATTTCAGGTTTTCTAAGCACATACGATCATATCATTGGCAAACACAGGTAGTTTCACTTCCTTCTTTCCAATTTAAATGTCCTTTATTTCTTTTGCTTACCAGATTGCTCTGACAAAAACTTTCAGTCCTATGTTGATTACAAGTGGATAAAGTGAGCATTTTTGTCTTCTTCTGGTTCTTAGTGGGAATACTTTCAACATTTCTTCATTCAATATGATGTTGCATATGGATTTGTCATTTTTGGCTTCTATTATTTTGATGTATGTTCTTTCTAGGCATAGTTTGTGTAAGTGTAGTCCATTATTTTACAAGCTTAGATTTGTATTCTGTTTTACCTGAGTGCGTTCTGAGATTTGGCATCTATTTTACCTGACATAAGTACAGATGCTCGTGCTGTTTTTTGGTTTCCAGTTGCATGGAATACTTTATTCTACCCCTTCACTTTCCATCTACATGTATCCTTATAGGTGAAGTGAGTTTCTGGAAAACAGCATATAGTAGGGTCTTATTTTTTTACTCATTCAAAGACCCTATGCCTTTCACTTGCAGAAGTGAGATAAATTATATTCATTGTTTTTATTGATAAAGGCTTAGTACTCCCATTTCATTTCTTGTTTTTTTGGTTGTTTAGAGACTTCTCTCTTCCATCCTTTTCTTATTGTCTTTCTTTGTGTTTAAGTAATTTTCTCTTCTGGAATCCTTGGAATGTGACTTTTCTGGCCAGAAACCTCTGTGGCTGGGGGCACCTTTGCCAGAGTTTTGATGGGGATCACTGGGTTCGTTCTGCCCATGCAGCCTAGTAGACTATGCTTGACTCATGTTTTAGGCCTGGAGCACATGCCTATTAAGGGCGGGTCAGGGGTAGAGCAGTGAGGGGTGTGTGAGTGAGCAGGGGGTCTGGCCACTTTGGACAGTCACTGGCTGCTGCTGCAGCAGTGGGGCAGGCAGCTCCAGGTGCCAGCACGGGTGCCAGATTTCGTCAAGGCTGCAAATGAACCAGGCACAGCACAAGCAGCTTCCATGGTTGTCACTGGAATACACAGTGACACCAATACTGAAAGCTTGGAAATGCCAGTAACTGCAGAACCCCCAGAAAGGAGTAACAGCCCTGGCTCAGGAAGCTCCCATGTCTGGGCTCCTGGAAGATTAGTAGCTCTTCTCTTTTTCTCTTCACCTACAACTTGGTGAGCAAGGGCTGTGTTTCAGCTTTGTTTGTGTTATTGCTCTTTTAGTCCCACCATTAGGCGGGTCCCAAGTTCTTGTTCTGTGACCAGGAAGAATGAATTATGCAGACAAGTGGAGGGTGAGTGAGATAAAGAGGAGCTTTACTGAGCAATAGAACAGCTCAGAGACCCACAGTGGGTAACTTCTTTCTGCAGCCAGGGTGTCCTGATGAGTGTTCAGCTCTGAGCAGACAGGAGGCGCTGGAGTGGGTGACCCCTCTCTCCTGGCAGGTTATTCCATCATCACCACTGCTCTCAGTAGAGAGGAGGCCCTGGAGTGGGTTGCTGCTCTCTGCAGGAAAGTCATCTCATCATCTCTACAGCTCTCAGCAGAGAAAAAGACCCAGAGTGGGTTGCTTGTCTCTGCAGGAAAATCATCCCAGTAGTGGGTAGTTCCTCTCTGCCACTGGTCTTCCTGATGTTCTCCCTGAGTCTGGGGTTTTTCCAGCATCAGACTGGAGAAAAGTATGTGCTCATTGGGTCATAGGTGGCCATGAGCAGGCACAGAAAAGGCAACATATGTTCCCATTCTGGTCCGTAGGACTGGTGGCCTAGCCTACGGGCTTCAGGCCCTCCTTGGTCAGAAGGTGGAGCCTCACCAGTGACTCTCACCTTCCTGTCCAAGATTCTGCCTCCCTCCCACCACCAACCATGTTGCCCAAGTCACTTGTACCAAGGAGCATCCAAAGACCAGCGCTGATCTGTCCGCAATCCCCCCTCAGCCCCCCTTCTATACTCATCAGGGCCCAAAGTCCAGAGGGTTCAAGGCAGCCATGGGATGCTGTATATGCACTGACCAAAATGTTCACAGACCCACCTGGGCTGTGACAGCATCCGGGCTCGACCACAACCACACCCCAAAATTAGGGCAGGCGCCATGAGAGACCAGGCAGTGGGAACAGACACCCTGAAGCTGAAGGAGAAGTGGGGATCTCCTGGGCCCTCAAGAGCACTGGGGGACCTCAGTTGGTAACTGTGACCTGGGCAGATTCAGTTGCACCTTTGGAGCTGCTGCCCTGCCAACTCGAGAGGACCAGGACTCCCTCTTGTCCCAGGCTCCCATCAGCTCCGAAGTGTACGCAGCCTTGGCTGTGCCCTCTCTCTGTGTTTCCCCACAGAGAGGACAGGTGAGATGCAGGTTCACAGCAGCTCTGACCAACCCCGCACAAACAAACCCAATGCTCCTGGGTGTGGTTTAACCAGCCCCAACTGTACTATCATCCAGGAGCTTGCAGGCTAACAGCAGGCAGTGGGCAGTGAGGTAGAGGCTGTGGTGGAGACTCCAGACCTGGGTCCAGGTTCCATTTTGCCATGAGAGGGTGTGGGTGGCACAGCTGGCTGCCTCAGGGACATGGAGCACAGGCCTGGCTCATGACCCTGCCAAGAGGGGGGCCTCCAGGAGTGGTTCGTGGTTCCCAGGCCCAGCAATCAGACTCCATGGTCTCCCCTACAGGGGGCAGATCTTGGAAAAACAGCCTGGGGTGGATCCGCATGGAACCTCCCTTCAAGACCCAGGAGCTTGACACTGTTAACAGGATGGGCACAGTGGCCAGATAGCTCAACAGGACCTTGAAGCAGGTGCCACTTGTGCTTCTCACCCTGGCCCCCTGATGGATGGCCCCAGCTCTGTTTTCTGGGCCTGGCATCCACACTTCTTGTGCGAGCGGGGCACCACCCCATTCCTATCTTCTCCTTGGGGCCCCTCTCTGCCTGTCCCTTTGTGCCTGACCGAGCTGCTCCCTGCAGGCAAAAAAAGGAAGAAAAAAACTGATGACTGAAGAGAAGTAAAGAATGGGTGGAGATCATCTGCACACCTGTTTTCCCAGCACTTTGGGAGGCCAAGGTTGGTGGATCACTCGAAGACAGGATCTTGAGACCAGGCTGATCAACATGGAAAAATCCCATCTTTATTAAAAATACAAAAATCACCCAGGCTTGGTGGAATATGCCTGCAGTCCCAGCCATTTGAGTGGTTGAGGCACGAGAATCACTTGAGCCCTGAAGGACAGGATTGCAGTGAGCCCAGATTGCACCATCGCACTCCAGCCTAAATGACAAACTGAGATTTTGTCTCCAAAACAAAACAAAGAACAAGAATGGGTGGGAAATACTCAAAATGATCTAATTTTTATTTGGTTGCTTTGATGTTCTACAACTGAAACTCAATCACAGACAAATTAGTATTTCGTTATTTTTCCATCCGTAACTCGATAACTAGAGATTTCTGATGGATAAATTGCACAACAGGTTAAAAGTTTTCATTCAGGTGCTCTTTATTGCTGATATTCCTTGGTAACCATCCTTGCAGGGATAACAGTCTCATCACTGTAGAACTTTAGCTTCTCTTTCCGACTCTAGGACACGGGTCCCTGAAGTTCTCACTGATGTCACCTCAACATTTTCCTCCAACCTTGCCCCCTGCTGTTATGTTTTTTCCCTCACACTGAACACTTGCCTGTGCTTCCTTTAAGTTGCATGTGGCCTGGACACAGTCACTCATGCCAGTAATCCCAGCACTTTAGGAAGCTGAGGCAGGAGGATCCCATAAGCCCAGCAGTTTGAGACCAGCTGGAGCAACACAGCGAAACCCTGTCTCAAATTGTCTTTAATAAAAATTTTGGAATTATTAAAAAATGAAATAAATAAGAAAAGAGAAAAATAGTTTGCACCCACATAGTAGATTTTAGTGTCCAAGTGCCTGGAAGAGAACTTTGGATTTCTCTACCCCACTGGGCACGCCTTCCCTAGCAGCAAAGATGGAGCTCCAGTTCCTCAGACGGTGATGAGCCACAGGAAGGGCAGGGGGTGGGGCCAATGAAGATCCTCTTGGGCTGCCTGACTTCCCTCAGTGTACACATCAGCTCAGCCCGAAGTGGGGTGAAGATCTCCCAATTGACACGAACCAAGGAATTCAAACTCTCCTCAGGGGCAGGATACGTCTCCAGGCTTAACTTGCTCAGCCCACTGGTGTGGCGCAGCAGGTCCTTCAGGGCGTCAATAGACATGCAATTTCTGCCAAAGTAGAAGGTGGTGAGCTGGGAGCAGCGGCTCAGGCCAGGCAGGATGGCACTGAGTTGGGAGTAGTGGATCTGACAGCCCTCCAAGATGAGGGTTTTGAGAGAGGCAGCAATTTTCTCCAGCAGAGCTCCGAGGGGTTCAAGACTGATGCGGAACAGCAGCACGTAGCTGAGATTCAGATGCTTTAGGTAACCGAGGCTTGGGTACTGGGAGAGACACTTCATGTCTTCTTCCAATAGGTAGCCATAAGTTAATTCCAAGTTCTCCAAGGGGTTCTGGAGGCACCTGTGGAGATCAAGAAGTTAGTTCTGGGCAGTGATACCAGTTAGATGAAGGTAGTGCCTTCATCTAGGAAAATGCCTGCGTCAAACAAACACAAGTTTGTTCCCACCATCTGATGATGGTCCTCATGGAAGTTGCTGCATGATGAGGACCCTGATCGTTCAGGGGCTGTCCCATTTTAGCCTCAGCCCTTTCACCATTGCTTGTGTGATTGGTTCAAGGCCATAAAATCTCTAAAGCCTTTTTTTTTTCATCTTTTAGCAGAAAACTTCATCTCTGGGCCACAGGTACCCGGTGGGAGATGTGAACAAAGAACTCAACTGAGCAAGGTCTAGGGACATCAGCTAGAGCTACATGTCAGCAGGGGCTCCCTGACATGCCTGCATCTGCAAACCAACTGTCACTTTTTACCACTCTCACGCCTACTCCCTCACCTCCATCCCGGAAGCACGCATTTCCCATGTCAATTACCTTTCCTGGAGTTCAAAACAACCTTTTACAAACAGGGAATCAGAGACAGGATCATTCGTGATCACTAAGCCGGTGAGGACAGACGTTCTATTGTGAAATGGACAGGTTTGATGCGCTTTCCCTCCTTTCATACCCTCCTCTATTATCTCTTTGACATCATATCAACTTGAAACACACTTTGTAACAGGAAATTCACACGTGCACCCCCAATAGAGCTGAAACCCCCACTAACTAGCTTGTACATGATGTCCCTCTCTAGCTTCTACCCCAGGTGACGCCTCTCCCCTTATTGGAGCGATCCTGTGATAGCCACTCCAGGACATGGAACACTGAATGGGACAATGTGTTGACATTCTGATGTCCCCTTCACTGTGACGTTGCCACTGGCTGGCACACAGTACATGCATTCTAATGTTTGCTGTTACAGAACAAGGCTATGCTGTGGTCTGCATACAAAGTGCATGATCCTTTCTCACCTGATCAGCTGTTCCAGGTGCCCACTGAAGAAGGTGATCAATTTTATTTTAAGCAACTGAAGGTGTTCCAGCCTGAGGAACACAGAGCTGAATTTGGCAACTAACCGTCCTTCGAGTTCATTATCTGACGTGTAATGATGGCACCTGGAGAAAACGAGTTTGCGAAGATTCTTCATCTCCTTCAGGTAACAACGAAGCTTTCTTATCAGACGTGGCCAGGACATGTTGCGAATTTCCAGCTCTTGAATACTATTCAGGTATATTATTTTCAATGACTTTCTGAGATATTTAATCGGCGTTAGATAATTGACCAGCTTACTACAGCACAGGTGTACTAAACCTCTCCTTTGGTAAACCCACTGGAAGAGGTATCTCAGGCATTCATCCTGGGGTATTTCCTTGAGGCAGATGTCTATGAACACCTTTAAGGGCTGGTGCTCTCCCATCCTTGGACAGTCCTCTGCTGTCTGCCTCTTACTCGTGGTCTCTGGGAAGCAGGACAGGGCCCAGGCTCCAGGCCATCTGGCCCAGAAATTCTCGTCAACATCCCGCAAATCCAGCACTTGAAGTTTCCACCTCCTGTGGGTAAAGTAAGGGAGAGACTCAGAATTTAGAAGGACTCATCCCTGACCTTTGCTTTCATTGTCATCCCATAAATCAGCTGCTCCTGTCCTCAGTGCTCCCTGTTCTCTTTGTCTTTTCTCAATCCCTGTTCCCTTTTGATTCTGACTTTTGATTCCCCACTTCTATTCCCTTTACCTTCCACTGAGTAAAGGCAGGTTTCTGTTCCCACAGTGGACCCTGTATGGTGAGCAGTCCTTTCTCTGAGGATCTGGAAAATGGCCAAAGCCTCCCTGATCTTCCTCGCCAACACCATCAGAAGACTCTGGGCCACACTTGGGCTACTTCTCTGCCTGACCCTGCTGTTCTTTCCCTGGACACCTGAGCCCTATCTACCAGCCCTCCTGGGTCACCTCACCTGGGGCGATCCTTCTGTGTAAGCAGCATATGAAGCCCTTCCAGCAATGCTTTTAAGGTCTCCAAATGAAGCGTCTTCATCAGTGATCCCAGAGGGAGGCAGGTGAAGGGCCAGGCCTGAACCATCACCGTCAGAGTCTGGAAGTGTCTCCTGCTGAAGGCCTCCATGAAGAGTGGGAGATAGAGCACCCTGGGCAGCTCCTCCATGGCAGAGATGGACAAGGCCTGGTCTCTCAGCAGGCTCTGCCCTGCCAGCTCCAGTAGTCTGGGTGGGGCCTGGATGCTCATCCTGATAGATCTGCAAGGAAAATCTCTAGAAGACAAATCCAGGGAAAATGTGTCACTCTCAGGGCAAAGACAATCATCTGCTTCTACTGGTACCAGGAAGAATGTCTTCCAAACACCAAGGAGGGAGGGGTCATGGAGACCACTGACTTATTAATTTTCTTCCATTGCTCCACTGAATCCCAGAACCACCGGACAGTGCCACTGAGGATCCTGAAAGCCAAGCTCTACCTCTTTGAAGAAAAATTTCTTGTCACTTACCACCCTAAAGCAATGAGAATGAGAGTGTCCTGTGGCCCCAGACAGCCTCCATTCTCAGTTTACACCATAAACATGCTGGGGGAACACTAAAGGGACTCCCTAAAATCGATGCCATTATTTTTTATTTTGAAAATTTTCTACCAGAAATGGACCAGGTGCTGTGGCTCATGTCTGTAATCCCAACACTGCTGGACACCAAGGAGGCAGATCACTTGAGGTCCGTAATTTGAGAACAGCCTGGCCTACATAATGAAACCATGTCTCTACTAAATATAAAAAAATTAAGAATCATTTGACTCCAGAAGGCAGAAGTTGCAATGAGCCAAGATCGCACCACTGCTCTCCAGCCTGGGTGACAGACTTGGACTCTGACTCAAACAAAAACAAATTGATAAATAAGTTAATTAAAATGTTAGCCAGGTGTGGTCATGCATGACTGTAATCCTAGCTACTCTGGAGGCAGAGAAAGGAGAATCACTTGAAGCCCAGAGGCAGAGTTTCCAGGGAGCCCAGCTCAGGGCCCTGCACTCCAGTCTGGGTGACACACTCAGAGTACATCACAGAAAAAAACAAAATTCACTGGAACTGTAAAAGTGGTGTGATGGTATTCCACAGCATTTGGAAGGTATGTATAGAAATGCTAACTGTAGCTGGGCGCGGTGGCTCACTCATGTAATCCCAGCACTTTGGGAGTCTGAGGTGGGCAGATCTCCTGAGGTCAGGAGTTTGAGGACAGCATGGCCAACATGGCAAAACCCTGTGTCTACTAAAAATACAAAAATTAGCTGGGCATGGTGGTGAGTGCCTGTAATCCAAGCTACTCAGGAGGCTGAAGCAGGAGAATCGCATGTAACTAGGAGGCAGAAATTTCAGTGAGCCAAATCACACCATGGCACTGCAGCCTGGGCAACAATAGGGAAACTCCATCTGAAAAAAAAAATTAACCAGAAACCGTAAAAGTGCTACCATGCTATTCTAGAGCACTGTAACTCTAAGATGAAGGTTCCTATAGACATCACTTCCACATACTCACAATTACCCACTTTTGGACAGATCCTAGGGGCAAAGATGAATCCCATGATCTGAGCAAAACTGCACTCTTGAGATTGCTGTGTGGGATACCTTTAAGGATTTTATGAAAATGAAAGCATACTTGGAGAATCACAATAACACCAAGTCTATGAACTGTAATTGAAGGGCACAAAAACAAATAACTTCAAATGTCAAGAAATAAAAATTCATGTCACTGTAAATTTTTAATATATTTTTAAAAAACCTGCTTCGATAAGAATTTTAAAATGACAAAAACCAAGCACAAATCACAATTTGATGGATGAAGACAAAACTACATTTAGAGGAAAAATGAAAGCCTAAATCTGTTCATCTCACGAAACAGACAGAAAAATATTGTGTGCCACTTTGGGATGTGTGTCACCGTCCCTGACTGGCTGGCTGCTGATCAGATGGGCATGACCCTAAGCAGGTGGTGACTTACCAGCGCTGGACTCACTTCGCAGAGTTCTGGGACCTCTCAGGAAACCAACCAGTAGCTCCAGGAATGAGTGCTGTGGGTCTCTTCTGGGTACCCTCAGGAGCTTTTATAGACCTTTCTAACCCCACCCTTCCCTTCTCAATCACCAGCTTCCAATCAGAAAGTGATACCTGATTAGATCTTGCAGTCACACCCAGTTAATCCTGATTGAGTTTTCAGCTTTCTTCTGACTAATTGATCGAATTAGATACACATTTATGGAAGTAAAAGAATAAATAATAGGGTGAAAGTCCAAAACTCATTCATTCATTTATTCCTCAAATACTGATGAAGTTTCGCTAATACACGACTTTCATAGTGATACAGGGAAGGGATTAATCTGTTCCTGATATTAGACCAAAAAAAAAAAAACCTTAAGGTGTCCTTATTGGAGGATGTTTGGCCACATCAAAATTGTCAAAATGTTTCAGAGCTACAACAGCCTGAAGAAGATAGTGATGTCATTCCCAAGAAAACAGAATAAAAAGCTGTGTATATCGAATGGTCACCTGTGTTTTATGCTATCTAACATAGCAGATCATATGCACATTCAGGTAGAAGAAAGGAACCACTGAGGGTGTGATCTATCTCAAGACTAAGTCAAGGCTTCACTGAAGGAAATCAGGACAAAGTGACCAAGTGAGGTGGGGACTGAGCGGAATGAGACTAGGTGTTCTAATGGGAACCTGCAAAGGAAACAAGACAATGTAAAACATGGCGGTTATCTTGTGGGCATCTAGATGTCAGGACTCAAAGTCCTTTGTCAAGATTGAGTTTATTTATTGATTCTTTGATTTTCAGACTGGGCCTACATCTGTCACTCAGGCTGGAGTGCAGTGGCACGATTTCAGCTCACTGCAGCCTCAACCTTCTGGGTTCAAGCAATTCTCTCACTTCTGCCTCCCAAGTAGCTGGGAATTACAGGTGCACTCCAACAAGCCCTACTAATTTTTGTATTTTAGTCGAGATGGGGTTTCACCATGTTGGCCCGGCTGGTCTCAAACTCCTGACCTCAAGTGATCTCCTCACCTCAGCCTCCCAAAATGCTGGGATAACATGCATCAGCCATCTCACCCACCCTAGATTGAGTTCAGAAATTAAAAGGAGAATCATCAAAAGAGATAGGGCAGACTTAAACCATAACATTCACTTTGAAAACACAGGGGGCAGGTATAGTCTTGGCCCTACTAGAAGGTAAAGGGTGTTTACCCACAAAAATGATGGGCTCCTCTCAGAAAACCAGCTTGCAAAGATGGAATCTGAGAATGTGAGCTGGAGCAGAGGCCAGAGAGAAGATTGTGGCTAGACCTGGGAAGGGTGGCTGTCCCAAGCTGGAAGCCACCCAGGTAGAAACTGTGGGCTCTACAGGATGTGAGAGAGAAATGAACGAGGGTCCATATGTCCGTCATTGTTCTATCATTTGGAAACCTTTCCTTTAGACTCTGGGATCTTCCCACAGTGGAACATTTCCCAGCAACCATTGGCCCCAGTCATTTTCCAGGACCCTTCATCCAAATCTTAATCTCACCCACTCCCTTCCTACTCTAATTTGATAATTCATGTTTCCTCCTTCTTAGAGTCCTTTCCTGTCGCTAATATTGAACATAGAGATTCTTATCAGAGCATCAACATTAGGCCTACAAAGAAAGCTCAGACCCAGGCACAGTGGCTCATGCCTGTAACATCAGCACTTTGAGAGGCCAAGGTGGGCTGATCATGAGGTCAGTATATCAAGACCATTCTAGCTAACACGGTGAAACTCCGTCTCTACTAAAAATACAAAAAATTAGCCGAGCATAGTGGCAGATGTCTGCACTCCCAGCTACTCAGAAGGCTGAGGCAGGAGAATCGCTTAAACCCAGGATGCGAAGTTGCAGTGAGCTGAGATGGCGCCACTGCCTTCCATCCTGGGTGACGGCATGACACTGTCAAAAAGGAACAAAAGAAAAAGCAAGCAAGCAAGCAAGCAAGCAAGCAAGAAAGAAAGAAAGAAAGAAAGAAAGAAAGAAAGAAAGAAAGAAAGAAAGAGGGAAGGAAGGAAGGAAGGAAGGAAGGAAGGAAGGAAGGAAGGAAGGAAGGAAGGAAGGAAGGAAGGAAAAGAAAGAAAGACCTCAGGCCTCTAATCCCAGCCCTTTGGGAAGCCAAGAAAGGCAGAGTGCTAGAGCTCAGGAGTTTGTGAGGAATATGGGCAATGTGATGAAACCCTGTCTCTAATACAAATACAAGATATTAGCTGGGGGGAGGCAGTGTGCACCTGTAGGCCAAGCTGCCCAAGAAGTTGAGGTGGGAGGATCACCTGAGCCCAGTGAGGCTTCTACTTCCCATGCCCCACTTTGTAAACCTGAGGCTGAGGGTGAGCTCAGCACCAATAATGGTTGTTAGAATCTGTGTTCACTGAGCATCCACGAGGCACAACAGATGGCTGGTACCGATCATCTCGGACCTCAGCTCTTCTTCATGGAGAATCTAAGGCACGTTGCTATTTTCCCCATTTCTAACCTGATAAACCTGAGATTTGGCCAGAGAAAAACCTGCCCATGTTCTGGCAGCAAATGATTGGCAAACCCCTCAGGTGAGGGGCTCAGTGGAACGCCTAAGGTGTTCAATAAGCTAAATATTGGAAAGAACTGGCTGACTGACTCCCTCTTCCTGCCCATTTCAAGGGGTGCAGTAGCACCCCCAGGACCCCAGTGAGAATCCTGCACTTGGGGTCTTTTCTACCATGTTCTGTCGCCAGGTCTTCTCGAGGTGCTCATCTGCTGCCAAGCTCAGAGCAAGCTTCAAAACCCATCTCAGGAAACGACCTGACCTATTCTCCAATCCCAGAATCCACACTGGGATTCCAAAGCTCCTATGAGGCCCTTGCTTAGGCTCTCTAGAATATTCCTGAGCCTCTGTTTTCTCCCCCAGCCTGAGCTGATGGGGCCGGCGTCACTTTATGCATCCCAAGGCCATCAGCCCATCTCTCCTGGACTTCAGAACATGGCCACAATGCAGAGAGACCCAGCAGTAATTAAGAAATTTTCCCCAATTTATATTGAGTGATGTTGGTGAACATGGCAAGGCACAAAGCAGGAAACTCCACAGCTGCTGCTCTGGACCTAAAGAGGCACCCTGGACTTCTGGGTGGTGACACTGCCTGGCTTGCAGAGGAAGACCTGACCCCTCTGGTCTTCCAAGGCTGCCAGGATGATGACAGAGCCTTCGACAGGTCCCAGCACAGGGGCCATCCCTTCCCAGGTTCCCCTGGTCCAGCCTTAGAGCTGATAAAGATGCACCTGGAATGCAGTAAGTATTTTTTTGTCCAAGCCATGTCTCTTCTTAGCCTTAGGTGAGGCTTTTTTCAGCTGGGTGCTATGGAAGAACCCGAAGCCCAGTGGGCATCACTGCAATGGCCACATGGTAAGTATGTGTGTGTGTGTGTGTGTGTGTGTGTGCGGCCACCTAGAAAGGCACAACTCTACCTGACAGAGATGGTTCCATGGAAGAGAAAAGTAAAACATCCAATGTCCCTGGTAGGACAACTTCCTCTGGGAGTCCAGCAAGAAGACGTGGGATCTGCGGACAAGAGATCCCTGGGTAAAAGCCCTCATTTGAGGATAAGAGTAAAGTTGAACCTTAGACCCTGAGGGATCTATGCCCTTCCCACAGGGCTGCAGCGGAGCCAGCCTTGACTCCCAGGCACAATAGCCCAGAGAGATCTTCGGAGGGAAGTAAACCTGCTGGGGCCTCAGGGCTCAGAAAAAGCCCTGGACCTATCTCCCAGTCATGCCTCTCCCACTCCCAAGTGCCTCTGGCCCTGGAACTGTCAGAGACCCCTGTGTCTTTTCCATGTGCTCTTCTTCTCCTTTCACTCAGCCCTGCCTTTGCCAATGCTCCCTGCATTTGCCTCCATGTAGGGCCCCCAACCCCAAGCTCTGGCAGTGGCTGGGGAGCTAGGGGTTTTTGTGCCCACCTGGAGAAAGCCTCACTCAGCATGGGCCCGTGTGGGTTCTGCAATCTTTTCCTACACAGGGTCACCTACAGGTGTTATAGATGCATCTCCCCTAGAAGAGCCAACGGGGATGGGTGAGGAATCTGAAATCACTCAGGCACCCCACATACAAATGAGAGCCAGGGTCCCTGCAAGCACAGGCCCCGGGGTAGGTCCTGGCCCTTGTTGTTGCCTTCTGATCCCAGAGGCCTTGGGTTTGTGGTCACAGGAGCCCTACCTACTTCCCATGCACCCCCAGCCCAAGATAAACAAATTCCTGCAGCCTCCCCGGTCCATGTACTTGAGATCTCCAGATCGTGCCACTTCACTCCAACCTGGACGACAGGGCGAGACTCGGGGCCAAAAAAAAAATTAGCTGAGCATGGTGGCAGGCACTTGTAGTCCGAGCTATTTGGGAGGCTGAGGTAGGAGAATCGCTTGAAGCCAGGAGGCAGAGGTTTCAGTGAGCTGAGATAGAGCCACTACACTGCAGCCTGGGAAATAGAGCAAGACTCCGTCTCAGGAAAAAGAGACAAGAAAAAGAGAAAATCAGAAGCACCGAGCTGTGTTTTTAATGAGGTCCTGCCCCAGGAAGTCAGGCATCCAAATGAAATTTCCTCATTTTTATCAATTCCCTTCTGTTCTTTACTTCTCTTTATAAATCTATTACCTACTTGCTTTGTTCTGTGGCTGATCAGTGGGTGAATACCCACAAGATGCACACACAGGGCCGGGAACATTCTATGTGGGCAAAGAGTGTGAGTCACTCAAGTAAAGCCCCTTCTCAGGGTCCCTCCCTGCTAACCAGATGCTGAGACCCTGTTCAGTCCTAATGGGCAGATTGAGAAGAATCCATTTCTGACCATTAGCTGTGCTGGGACAGAGATTCACTGCACAAGGCATGGCCCCTGCTTTGGAAGGGGACATTCACATCATTGATTACCTGGAGCTTCAGGGCATCACCAACCCATACCTGTCATCATGGTGGGCAGTGCTCCTTCCTTAATTAAACTAGTTGTGTCTTATAAAGATATCAAAATTCCCTTTTAGCAAAATACTACCTATAATATATAAATATGGCCAGGCGTGTTGGCTTATACATATAATAGTAGCACTTTGAGAGGCTGAGGCAGGAGAATCACAAGATCAAGAGATCGAGACCATCCTAGCCAACATGGTGAAACCCTGTCTCTACTAAAAATACAAAAATTAGCTGGACATGTTGGCACATGCCTGTACTCCCAGCTGAGGCAGGAGAATTGCTTGAACTCAGGAGGTGTAGGTTGCTGTGAGCTGAGATTGTGCCACCACACTTCAGCCTCATGACAGAGTGAGACTCCATCTCAAAAACAAAACAAAACAAAACAATATATAAATACTAATAATCATATAGACATAAAACATGGTTTAAATATTTCTTTACCACATTCAAAAATCAAGCATGCTTTTTGGGGGCCAGGTCATATTGATGAGAGATCCCTTCTTAACACCCTTCCCATATCTAGCAGACTAAAGAAGAAGAATAGTGTATGCAGGGAAAAGAAAGAGAGATCAGACGGTTACTGTGTCTATGTAGAAAAGGAAGACATAAGAAACATCATTTTGATCTGTACCCTGACTTTGCCCTGAGATGCTGTTAATCTGTAACTTTAGCCCCAACTTTGAGCTCACAGCAGCATGTGTTGTATAGAATCAAGGTTTAAGGGGTCCAGGGCTGTGCAGGATGTGCTTTCCTAGCAAAAGGTTTACAGGCAGTATGCTTGATAAAAGTCATCACCATTCTCCATTCTCAAGTAACCAGGGGTGCAATACACTGTGAAAAACTTCAGGGACCCCTGCCCTGGAAAGCCAGGTATTGTCCAAGGTTTCTCCTCATGTGATAGTCTGAAATATGACCTCATTGAATGGGAAAGACCTGACCTTCCACCCAGCTTGACACCCATTAAGGGTCTGTGCTGAGGAGGATTAGTAAAGGAGGAAGGCCTCTTGCAGTTAAGAGGAAGGCTTCTGTCTCCTGCCTGCCCCTGGGAACTGAATGCCTCAGTATAAAACCTGATTATACATTTGTTCTATTCTGAGATAGGAGAAAAACTGCCTGTGGTGGGAGGCGAGACATGTTGGCAGCAATGCTGCTTTGTTACTCTTTACTCCACTGAGATGTTTGGGTGGAGAAAAGCATAAATCTGGCCTATGTGCACATCCAGGCATAGTACCATCCCTTAAACTTATTTGTGACACAGATTCCTCTGCTCACATGTTTTCTTGCTGATTTTCTCCCCACTATCACCCTGCTCTCCTGCCACTTTTCCCTTACTGAGTTAGTGAAAATAGTAATCAATAAATACTGAGGGAACTCAGAGACCAGTGGCGGTGTGGGTCCTCCGCATGCTGAGCACCAGTCCCCTGGGCCCATTTTTCTTTCTCGATACTTTGTCTCTGTGTCTTATTTCTTTTCTCAGTCTCTTGTCCTGCCTGATGAGAAATACCCACAGGTGTGGAGTGGCTGACCCCCTTCATATGGCGCCCAACATGGGCCTTTCTCTAGGGTGAAGGTACACTAAAAACGTGAGCATTGAAGACAGTCAACGAGAGATTCCCAAGTACTTCCATGGTCAGCCATGCGGTAAGCTTGTGCGCTCAGTGGAACTCAGGGTAACAATGGGACAAACTGAAGGTAAATATGCCTCTTATCTCAGCTTCATTAAAATTCTTCTAAGAAGATGGGGAGTTAGAGCTTCTACAGAAAATCTAATTATGTTATTTCAAACAATAGAACAATTCTGCCCATGGTTTCCAAAACAGGGAACTTTAGATCTAAAAGATTGGGGGAAAATTGGCAAAGAATTAAAACAAGCAAATAGGGAAGGTAAAATCATCCCACTTACAGTATGGAATGATTGGCCCATTATTAAAGCAACTTTAGAACCGTTTCAAATAGAAAAAGACAGCCTTTCAATTTCTGATGCCCCTGAAAGATGTGTAGTAGATTGTGAAGAAGAGGCAGAGACAAAATCCCGGAAATTAATGGAAAGTTCACATTGTAAAAATGTAGCAGAGTCTGTAATGGCTCAGTCAACGCAAAATGTTGACTACAATCAGTTACAGGAGGTAGTATATCCTGAATCATCAAAACTGGTGGAAGGAGGTCCAGAATTATTGGGGCTACCAGAGCCTAAACCACCATGGCCATCAACTCCTCCTCCAGTGGTTCAGATGCCTGTAACATTACAACCTCAAATGCAGGTTAGACAAGTGCAAACCCCAAGAGAATATCAAGTAGAAAAGGATAGAGTCTCTATCCCGGCAATGCCAATTCAGATACAGTATCCACAATATCAGCTGGTAGAAAATAAGACCCAACCACCGGTAGTTTATCAATACTGGCCGCCAGCTGAGCTTCAGTATGGGCTGTCTCCGGAGGTTCAATACAGACCTCAAGCTGTGTGTCCCGTGCCACATAGCACGGCACCTCACCAGCAACCCAGTGGTGTTTAATCCTACATCACCACCTAGTGGACAAGGTAGTACACTGCATGAAATCATTGATAAAGCCAGAAAACAGGGAGATCTTGAGGCATGGCAGTTCCTTGTAATTTTACAACCAATACCAGCTGGGAAAGGGGGGCAAGCTGGAGCGTCTGTCCAAACTGAGGCTAGATATGAATCTTTCACCATGAAAATGTTAAAAGATATGAAGGAAGGAGTTAAACAATATGGACCCAACTCCCCTTATATGAGAACTTTATTAGATTCCATTGCTCATGGAAATAGACTTATTCCCTATGATTGGGAAACGTTGGCTAAATCTTCCCTTTCACCCTCTCAGTTCCTACAATTTAAAACCTGGTGGATTGATGGAGTACAAGAACAGGCATGAAAAAATCAGGCTATTTATCCCGCTGTTAATATAGATGCAGATCAATTGCTAGGAACAGGTCCAAATTGGAGCACAATTGGCCAACAATCAGTAATGCAGAATGAGGGTATTGAACATCTAAAGGCTCTTTGCCTCAGGGACTGGGAAAAAATTCAGGACCCAGGCACCTGGGTGCCCCACGCACCGCTTGCCCAGGCATCGCTTGCCCAGGCACTGCTTGCCCTTCTTCTAATTCAATTAGACAAGGCTGTAAAGAGCCATATCCAGACTTCGTGGCAAGGTTGCAAGATGCCTCTGAAAAATCTGTTTCAGATGATAATGCCCAAAAAGTTATTGTAGAAATAATGGCTTTTCAAAAGTCAAATCCAGAATTTCAACCAGCCATAAAGCCATTAAAAGGAAAAGGTCCAGCAGGAGTTGATGTAATTACAGAATATGTGAAAGCTTGTGATGGGATTGGAGGAGCTATGCGTAAGGCAATGCTAATGGCTCAAGCAATGACCGGAGTCACTTTAGGAGGATAGTTAGAGCATTTGGGGGGAAATGTTATAATTGTGGTCAAATCGGTCATCTAAAAAAGAACTGCCCAGTCTTAAATAAACAGAGTAAAAATAAAGAGCCACCTGGCCTGTGTCCAAGACATGGAAAAGGAAAACATTGGGCTAATCAATGTCGTTCTAAATATGATAAAAATGGGCAACTATTGTCAGAAAAAGGGGTGAGGGGCCAGCCTCAGTCCCAACAACAAACTGGGGCATTCCCGATTCAGCCGTTTGTTCTTCAGGGTTTTCAGGGACAGCAACCCCCACAGCAAATACCACCACTTCAGGGAATCAGCCAATTACAACAATACAACAGCTGTCCCCCGCCACAGCAGGCAGCACAGCAGTAGATTTATGTTCCACTCAAAAGGTTTCTTTACTCCCTGGAGAGACCCCGCAAAAGATTCCTACAGGGGTATATGGCCCACTGCCAGGAGGGACAGTAGGCCTCATTTTAGGGAGATGAAGTCTAAATTTGAAGGGAGTCCAAATTCATACTGGGGTAATTGATTCAGATTATAAAGGGGAAATTCAGTTAGTGATCAGCTCCACTGTTCCCTGGAGTGCCAATCCAGGTAATAGAATTGCTCAATTATTGCTTTTGCCTTATATTAAAATTGGGAAAACAAAACGGAAAGGACAAGAGGGTTTGGAAGTACCAACTCTGCCAGAAAAGCCACTCAATGGGCTCGTCATGTCTCAGAGAATAGACCTGTGTGTACAGTCACTATTCAGGGAAAGCAGTTTATAGGATTATTGGATACCGATGCTGATGTTTCCCTTATCGCCTTAAATCAATGGCCAAAAAATTGGCCTAAACAAAAGCCTGTTACAGGACTTGTCGGTGTGGGCAGCGCCTCAAAAGTGTATCAAAGCACCATGATTTTACATTGTCTAGGACCTGATAATCAAGAAAGTACAGTTCAACCTATGATTACTTTTATTCCAAATAATTTTTTGGGCCGAGACTTGTTACAACAATGACATGCAGAGATTACTATCCCAGCCTCCTTATACAGCCCCACGAGTCAAAAAATCATGACTAAAATGGGATGTCTCCCTGGCAAAGGACTAGGGAAAAATGGAGATGGCATTAAAATCCCAATTGAGGCTGAGGGAAATCAAGAAAGAAAAAGAATAGGATATCCTTTTTAGGAGTGGCCACTGTAGAGCCTCCAAAACCCATTCCATTAACTTGGAAAACAGAAAAACCTGTATGGGTAAATCAGTGGCTGCTACCAAAACAAAAGCTGGAGGCTTTACACTTACGGGCAAAAGAACAATTAGCAAAGGGACATATTGAGCCTTCATTTTCGCCTTGAATTCTCCTGTGTTTGTAACTCAGAAAAAATCCGGCAGATGGCACATGTTGACCGTCTTAAGAGCCGTCAATGCTGTAATTCAACCTATGGGGGCTCTCCAACCTGGGTTGCCCTCTCTGGCCATGATCCCCAAAGATTGGCCTTTAATTATAATTGATCTGAAGGATTGCTTTTTTACCATTCCTCTAGCAAAACAGGATTTTGAAAAATTTGCTTTTACTATACCAGCCATAAATAATAAAGAACCAGCCACCAGGTTTCAGTGGAAAGTGTTGCCCAGGGAATGCTTAATAGTCCAACTATTTGTCAGATTTTTGTAGCTGAAGCTCTTCAACCAGTTAGAGACAAGTTTTCAGACTACGTCTTTCATTATGTTGATGATCTTTTGTGTGCTGCAGAAACGAGAGACACATTAATTGACTGTTACACATTTCTGCAGACAGAGGTTGCAAACGCAGGACTGACAATAGCATCTGATAAGATTCAAACCTCTACTCCTGTCCATTACTTGGGAATGCAGGTAGAGGAAAGAAAATTTAAACAACAAAAAATAGAAATAAGAAAAGACACATTAAAAACATTAAACGACTTTCATAAATTGCTAGGAGATATTAATTGGATTTGGCCAACTCTAGGCATCCTTACTTATGCCATGTCAAATTTGTTCTCTATCTTGAGTGGGGATCCAGAATTGAATAGTAAAAGAACATTAACTCCAGAGGCAACTAAAGAAATTGAATTAATTGAAGAAAAAATTCGGTCAGCACAAGTAAATAGAATAGATCACTTCGCCCCACTCCAACTTTTGATTTTTGCTACTGCACATTCTCAACAGGCATTATTGTTCAAAATACAGATCTTGTGGAGTGATCTTTCCTTCCTCACAGTACGATTAAGACTTTTACATTGTACTTGGATCAAATGGCTACATTAATTGGTCAGGCAAGATTACAAATAATAAAATTGTGTGGAAGTGACCCAGATAAAATCATTGTTCCTTTAAACAAGGAAGAGTTTAGACAAGGCTTTATCAATTCTGCTGCATGGCAGATTGGTCTTGCTGATTTTGTGAGAATTACTGATAAGCATTACCCAAAAACAAAAATCTTCCAGTTTTTAAAATTGACTACTTGAATTTTACCTAAAATTACCAGACATAAACCTTTAGAAAATGCTCTGATGGTGTTTACTGATGGTTCCAGCAATGGAAAAGTGGTTCACACCAGGCCGAAAGAACGAGTCATTGAAAATCAGATTCTGCATATGTAGCACAGCTACAAAGGATGTTGAGACAGCCCTAATCAAATATAGTATGGATGATCAGTTAAACAAGCCCTTTAATTTGTTACAACAAATTGTAAGAAAAAGAAATTTCCCATTTTATATTACTCATATCTGAGCACGTACTAATTTACCAAGGCCTTTAACTAAAGCAAATGAACAAGCTGACTTGCTAGCATCATCTGCATTCATAGAAGCACAAGAACTTCATGCTTTGACTCATGTAAATGCAACAGGACTAAAAAATAAATTTGATATCACATGGAAAGAGGCAAAAAATATTGTATAACATTGCACCCAGTGTCAAGTCCTACACCTGCCCACTCAGGCGCACTGGGACAAAGTTTTTCTGTGAGTTCATTATAAGAATGATGCCAGCAGAGAGAAATTTGGGAACCAACAGCTACAATGTCTCACATGTAAGAGGGCACCTCCTCATTGTTACGGGACTAGGGAAACCGTGGATTGTCTTTATTATTTCAGATGAGATGGAAGCTTTCCCTGCACTTGGATTATGTCCTAAGTAAGGACCTTTTCTCTAGAGAATGGAAAAGTTTTCATGGAGGTCTTAGGGCCCTTGTAAGCTTACTGCTCTAAAAGATAAATGGAATCTATTAGAGTGTCCCTTGGTAAGAGAACATAACTGCACACCTACTGCATATTGAATGAGAGTGGAATTTCTAGGGAATGGTAAGGTTAACAGGTCCTGGTGTTATCCCTGCGAGAACTATGATGGGACTCCAGTGAACCCCTGTGGCGTTACAACCCAGGCGTGTTGCTGAATTTTTCAAGTAAAGGCCAACAAGTATTGGCTCTCCTCATCAACAGGAATCCTAAGGAAGGCAGAGGAGAAATCTCTCACTGGGTACCATTTAGAGTCTGTAGTCACCTTACATAACAAGATATTTCATGTGAAGCCACAGTATATCTCACTATTACAATTTTCTTTATTGCATGTAAGTCTTGCACAAATCATTAACCTTGTCAGTTAGGTTTTATATCTGGCAGGATGGAAGGGTTACATGGATTGGGACAAGGAATTGTAAGTCCTTGTTCTATTAAATCTTCTCCAATTGGGGAAAGTCTTTGGATTACCTCTGACTTTAAGGGGTATTGGGGCAACATGGCCAATTATTTAGAATAGCCAACAAATGAATAGTGACACTCCATAAACATTTACATAATAGCAGATTTTTGGAAGTACCACTTAATATACTCCTGCTTTCATCACTAAATTACACCAGACGGTCTAACTAAATTACAGCAGATGGCACATGAGTCCCGTGGTTTGGAAATTTTTATCTCATGATCACTAGAGATGAATTCAGTCCTGCACTGCCCACCCCGTTCTTTGCTGGTTGTTGAGGTCCTGCTGTTTACAGGAATCATGATTAAGCGGTGGCGGCGTGTAGAAGCTGAGTCCCATTGCATGCCCTGGGTCCCTACTGCCTCCCTGTTATGAGGAATAGGAGGTGAGATTGAAGGATGAAGAATGCTGAGACTTTTATTAGGAGGAAAAAAGAAAGACAGGATGCATGTATTAAGCTTTTACTGTATGAAAGGCCCCATTCCAAGTCATAACCATGTACCATCTCACTGTGTCCTAAGAGGGTCCCACAGGCTGGTGGGCATAATCCTTCTCATTCTACAGGAAAATTGAGGCTCTTTCCTCAGCTTCCTGCCCAACAGCACCAGCCCCTGTGTCCTCAGCAGGGTCCCACACTCGGGAGCCTTTTGTGTAGGGTCCCTCAGCACAGCGAAGGTCACTCATCACCCACAGGCACTTGATCATTATCCACCCTCTGATGACGTGTGATACCCAAACACACTGCACTAGTCTTCCTTGAGAGGGAGAGAAGGCAAGTGTTATGGGAAAATCTCATCAATATGACCTAGCTCCCCAAAAGGATAAAATGTTTGTTAAATGTGGGCTAGAAATGTTTAAAATGTACTATATGCCTGCATAATTTAAGCATTTTCCCAAAAAGGGAATTTGGATGTCTTTATTGGCCACAACTATTTTAATATTGCAAGGGTCACTACCCTCCATGAGAACAAGCATGGGTTGGTGATGCCCTGAGGCTCCTGCTCATACAGTGTGGAGCTCCCCTTCCAGGGCAGAGGCCACACCTTGTGCAGTGAAATCCTTTCCCAGCACAGGTAATGGTCAGCAACTGAGCGTTCTGAATCCACCCATCAGGAGTAAACAGGGTCTAAGCATCTGGACAAAAGTGAGGGCCCTGCGAAGAAGGGGCTGAACTTCAGTGACTGACCCTCACTGCCCACCTAGAATGGTCCAGGCCCCGTAAGTGCATCTCACGTGTATTAACCCACTAAATAGACACATGCCCAGAGAGAAATTAAAAAAAAAGGAATTGAGCAAAACGATCACATTCCACTTTGATGCCTTTATTTCCTTGGGCTGAACCTCATTAATTTTAGAGAACTTAGTGCCTTTTGTCCCCCATGAGTAACTTGAGATTCCTTAGGTTAAAATTGTTAAGCCAGGTGAAGCAATCATGGAGGACACCAGACAGTTTCCACTCAGCTTCCCTTTATTTCTGACTGTTTCTTTACAACCATCCGTGCAGGGGTAACTGTCTCATGTGTCTCTCCTACCTGATTCTCATTCTAGCAATTCAGATTCCCATTTCTGATTCTCTGGGACACAGGTCTCTAAAGCTCCTATTGACTCCAACTCAACTTTTCCCCCAGTCCCTCCCTTCCTGCATCCCCTTTCCTTTCCGGTTCACATTGAGCAGGCATATGAAACGATGGGTCTGTGCTCCCTTTGACATACACTCATGGCCTAGGATTCAGTTGCCAAATGACCAGAAGAAAGCTTTAAATAAATCCACCCTGACAGCAGGCATTCAACAGACAGTGACTGGGCTCCAGGTCATAGGAGGCCCTGATGCCACAGCGAGGGCAGGGGACAGTGCTGAACACAATTATCTTGGGCTGCCTTAAGTCCCTCAGTGTCTTCATCAGCTCAGCCCCAAGTTGAGAAAATCTTCCCCAGCAGAGAGCACCCTGGGCATCATAACTCTCCAGAGGGGCAGGATACAGCTCCAGGCTTAGCTTGCTCAGCCCGACGGTGTGGCGCAGCAGGTTCTCCAGGGCGGCCATGGAGATGAGGTTCCCACAGAAGCTGAAGGTGCTGAGCTGGGAGCAGCGGCTCAGGGCAGGCAGGATGGCGCTGAGTTGGGAATCCACGATCCCACAGTCCTCTAAGTCCAGGGTCTGCAGGGTGGCCTCAGCTTGCTCCAGCAGAACTGAGAGGGGCTCAGGACTGAAATGGGTCAGTGTGATGCCCCTCAGGTCTAGCTCTTTTAGCTGACGGATGCTCGGGCACCAAGAGAGATGCTTCAGGTCCGACTCTGACAGCAGGCATTCGGTCATTACGACTGTCTCCAAGGGGGCCTGGAGACACCTGGGAGAGAACAAGAAGGAGTTAGAGGAGAGTGGTGGGGAAGACCTCAAGGTGAGAGATGACACTTTTCACAACCCAAGGCTGTTCTGCTTATCTGAGGATAATCAGCACCTGGGGTGTGGGAATGGAGACTCTGCTCATTCAGGGCAGACCCAATCGAGGCTCAGTCCTTCACCATCACTCGGGTGACTGGGTCAAGTCCATGAACTCTAATGCTCCCTTTCCTCATGTGTCAGGTAGAAAACCACATCTCTGGGCCACAGGAGCCCGATGGAGACACAGGCATAAATGACAAACCCAGGCAAGATCCTGCAACCTCAGCTGGGGTGGCCAGGCTGCAGGAGACCCTGACATGCCCGTATCATCAGCAAACCATCTATCACTTTCACCATTCTTCACTCCTGCTCCCTCACCCTCTATTCCATCATGTTTTGGAGCTCAAAACATTTTACTGACAGAGGGAGACACAGGATTTTACCTGTTCACTAGGCAGGTGAGGACAGACCTTATATTTTAAAATGGAGGGGTGTGATGGACATTCTCTTCTTTAGTGCCCTCTTCAACTCCCCATTTCCCATCGTCTTAACTTAGACACACATCCTCGGGAGGAATTCACGAATGCACCCTCACTAGATCTAAACCCTGCAGTACCTTCCTAGCATGGCAGCCTCTCTATAGCATCTAGCCCAGGAGATCCCGCTGGCTTATTGGGATGGATGTGTGACACCTATTTCAGGACAGAGCTGCCAACAGGACAATGCATGGACATTCTAGTGTCCCCTTCGCTGTTACCTCCTCACAAGCTGGCTCACAGTAGATACCCCCTGGTGTTTACAGTAATAAAGAAAGTCTTTGCTGCGGTCTGCAGAGAAAGCTCACCATACTTCCTCACCTGAGCAGCTGGTCCAGGTGGCCTTCGAGGAAAGAGACAGAGTGCATGTAAAGCTTCTGGAAGTAGTCCAGCTTGAGGAACTGAGAGGTGAACTGGATGACAAACTGCTCCTTCCTGTCTAGGGGAATGCAGGCAGAGACATGGATGTTGAAGAGAACAAGTTTGCGGAGATTCCTCATCTGGCCCAGGTAAGGGGCGAACCTTATAAGAATGGACAGCTCCCACGGGCAGCACACTTCCACCTCCTGGATACAGTCTAGCTCCACCGTGTTCAGGACCTCTATGATCCTGTGGATGGCTATTCCAAAAATCTGCAGCTCCTTGCAACACACGTGCAGTAAGCCTTTTCTCTGCTTGCCCCACTCTAAGAAGTGGGTGAGGCATTCATCCAGCGTCCCATTCTTGAAGCAAAGGTCTAGGATCACCATCAAGGGCTGCTGCCCACCCGGCCTTGGACAGTTCCCTGCTGTTCGTCTCTTACTCAGGGCCTCTGGGGAGAGTGCAGAAGCTCCAGACCATATGCCCCAGAAGTTCTCATCCACATTCCGCAAGTCCAACACTTGAAGTTTCCACCGCCTGTGGGTAAAAGAGAAGAGAGGCTCCAAATTTAGGAAGGATTTGAGCTTTTATCCACATCCCGGACATCAGCGACTCTCCTCCCTGCTGCTTCTCCCACTCTCTGTCTTTTCTCCATCCCTCTTTCTCCTTGAAACCTGCCTGGTCCCCACTGCTAGTGTCTTCAATTGCCACTGGCAGGAGGCAGGTTCCTGATCCTTCAGTGGACCCTGCATGGTGAGCAGTCCTTTCCCAGAGGAGCTGGACAATGGCCAAGGCCTCTCTGAGCTTCCTCCCCAGCCCCATCAGAAGTCTCTGGGCCACCCTTGGGCCTCCCACTCCTTCTGACCCAGCTAACCCTACCCTGGATGCCTGAGCCCTCCCCACCTGGTTAGCTGGGTCACCTCACCTGGGGCGAACCTTCTGGGCAAGCAGTGCATCAAGCCCCTCCAGCACAGCTCGAAAGATCTCTAGATTACATGACTTCATCAGGGACCCTAGAGGAAGGCAGGTGAAGGGCCAGGCCTGCACCATAGTTGTCAGGGTCTCGCAGCATCTCCTGGTAAAGGCCTCCATGAACAGTGGGGGAAAGAGCTCCCTGGGCAGCTCCTCCAGGGTGGGGATGGCCAAGGCCCGGTCTCTCAGCAGACTCTGCTCAGCCAGCTCCAGGAGTCTAGGTGGGGCCTGGAGGCTCATCCTGATGAATCTAGAGAAAAAAACATCATTCTTACGGCAAATCACATCACTTCATCATCTCCTAGTGCCAATGTCATTGCTCTGGTAGAGGTGGAAAGGTAATTAGTTCACCCCAATTCCACTCTGCACTTTCTGGACACAAATCTGTAATTCTGCCCTTGCTGGTACCATAAAGAATGTCTTCCAAACAATGAGGAGAGGGCAAGGTAACCACTGGCCCATTCATTTTCAACCATTGCTGCACTAAATCTCAGTAACACTGGGAAGCGTTGCTGAGGATCCTGAAAGCTAAGCTCCACCTTTTTGAGAAAATATTTCTTGTCACTTACCACCCTAAAACAATGGGAACGAGAATGTCCTGTGGCCCCACACAGCCTACATTCTCAGTTCCCACAATTGACATGCTTGCAGAAGACTAAAGGGACTCCTTGGAATCAGCGCCATTATTTTTTATTTTGAAAAATTGTAACAAGAAATTGTAAAAACAGCATGACAGTGTTCTAGAGCCTGTGAAAGTTAGGGATAAAAACACTAACTCTCAGATGAAGGTTCCAATGTTGATCTCTTACACAGACTCACAATGACCCACTTTGGGATGGAATCTAGGGGAAAAAAATGGGTCCCATGTTCAGAACAAAGACTCCACTCTTGAGAATGGCCTATGGAATATCTTTAAGGTATTAGTAAAAACTAAGGCCTAACATGTAAAATCACGATGCCACCAAGTCTATGAACTATAATTTAAGGGCACAAAAACCAATTATTTCAAATGTCACGAAATAAAAATTCAACCAGTTGTAACTTTTTAATATCTCTTGTTAAAAAAAAAACTGCTTCAATAAGAATTTTGAAATGACAAAAACCAAGCACAAATCCAATTTTGGGGGATGAAGACAAAACTACATTTAGAGGAAAAATCAAAGCCTAAATTTGTTCTTCTGAAAACAGACAAGAAAATTCTCTCTGCCACCTTGGGCTGCATGTCACCATCCCTGACTGGCTGGCTGGCTGCAGATCAGATGGGCATGACCCTAAGGAGGTGGTGACTTACCAGATCTGGACTCAGTTTGCAGGGTGCTGCAACCTCTCAGAGAACCGAGCAGTAGCTCCAGGTGTCAGCGCCTTGGATTCTCTCCTGTGCACCTTCGGGAGCTTTTATGGACCTTTCTAACCACACCCTCCCCATCTCAACAACCAACTTCCAATCAGAAAATGATGTCTGATTAGATTCTGAAGTTCCACCCAGTTAATCCTGATTGAGTTTGCGACTTTCTTCTGATTAATTGATTGGATCAGATATACGTTTATGAAAGTGAAAGATATAAATAATAGGGTGAAAGTCCACAACTCATTCATTCCTTTATTCCACAAACACTGATGGAGTTTGACTGACATGAGAGCTTCATAGTGATGCAGGAAAGGGTTGAATCTGTTTCTGGCATTTGACAGAAAAAACAAAACCTGAAGGTATCTTTGCTGGGGGATCTTTGGCCACATAAACATTATCAAAATGTCTCAGAGCTAAAACAGCTCTAAGAAGACAGTAATTTCATCCCTAAGAAAGCAGAATAAATATCTCTGCGTATCCAGTGGTCAGCTGGGATTTACGCTTTCTAACATGGTAGATCATATGCCCATTCAGGTGGCAGAGGGGAACCACTGAGGGTGTGATTGATCTCAAGACGAAGGTTCAGGCTTCTCCGGAGGAAATTAAACCAAAATTACAAAGTGAGGTGGGGGCTGGGCAGGATGGGACCGGGTGTTCTAATGGGACCCTGGGAAGGAACCAAGACAGCATAAAACATGGTGGGTATTTTGTGGGAGAGGAGACGGAAGGATTGAAAGACTCCATTTAGATTGAATTCAAAAACTGAAAAGGAAATAATTACAAAAGAGACACTGTAGACTCAAAACACAATATTGCCTTTGAGGGCATGGGACGAGATACAGTCTTGGTCACCTCTAGAAGGTAAAGCGTGTTTACTCACAAAAATGATGGGCACCCCTCAGAAAACCAGCTTCGGGAGATTGAATCTGAGAATGTGAGCTGGGACAGAGGCCAGACAGAAGCACAGTGGCCAGGCCTAAGAAGGGAGACTCCCCCAAGCTGGAAGCCACAGAGGGTGGAAGCTGTGGGCTCTGCAGGACATGGGGGAGAAATGCACAAGGGTCCGTGTCTCCCTGTCATGGCGCTATGGTCTGGAAATCTTTCCTTTAGACTCAGGGATCTTCCCACAGTGGAACATTTCCCAGCAACCCTCAGGTCCAGGCATTTCCCAGGGCCCTTCATCCTCATCAATCCCATCGGCCCCTTTCCAGGTATATTTTGATCATTAATGTTTTCTCATCCTTAAAGTCCTCTCTTGTCCCTAATATTGAACATAGAGATTCTGATCAGAACAACAACATTAGGCATATGAAGAAAACTCAGGCCAGGCACGGTGGTCACTGGAGTCCAGGAGTTTGAGACCTGCCTGGGTAACATGGTGAAACACTGTCTCTGTAAAAAAAAAAAAATCTACCTAGACATGGTCATGTGCACCTGTATTCCCAGTGACCCCATAAGCAGAGATGGGAGGATTCCCTGAGCCCAGGAGGTCAGTACTGCAGTGAGCCATGATCGTGCTGCTGCACTCCAGCCTTGAGACCTTGTCTCAACAGAGGGAAACCCAACAGAGTGAGACCTTGTCCCAAAAAAAAAAAAAAGAGAAACAAAGAAAATAAGAGAACTCAGTTTTTCTCTCTTTAAGCACAGTGCACACATCCTAGTACATTTCCCCACAAAACCCAGAGCTCCGTATCACGCTGCAAGCTTTGTAAGCTTAGGGGTGGCTCCCATCCTGGGCAGAATCACACCGTGATTCTTCTGATGTTTTGGGATACAAAGTAGCAAGAGCCTCCCCCACCCCAGAGAATCCTCCAGGCCTTTCTCTCCCATTTTTTATGACACCCAAACAGCTCTGAGATGCCACTGGCCCACCAAAGCTGGAGTTCTTCGAAGGATGTTCTCCATCTCGGAATCTTTCTGGAAATGTTTTCTCTCCACATTTCTGACCTCACTATCAATGCCTTATGTGTGCAATCAAGTTAAACTGAAATGTACTCAGTGAGGCTTCTACTTCCCAGCCCCTTGCTTTGTGAACCTGAGGCTGAGGGTGAGCTCAGCACCAAGGATGGTCGTGAGCATCTCTGTTGACTGAGCATCCACGAGACACAGCAGGGGCTGAGTACTTTTCACCCAGCTCTCCCTCACAGAGACCTCACCTCTCCCTCCCAGTGAACCTAAGGTATGTTGCTCTTTCCCGCATTTTTAACCTGGTGACCCTGAGACTCGGCCAGGGAGAGGAATCTGCCCATGTTCAGGCCGCAAATGATTGGCAGATCCCTCAGGTGAGGGCTCAGAGGATCCCCCAAGGGGTTCAATAACCTAAATGTTACAAAGAACTGATTGACAGCCTTTTCCTTCCTACCCAATTCAGGGAGTCTTGCACCACCCCCAGGACCCTGGTGAGAATCCTGCACTTGGGGGCTTTTCTACCATATCCTGTCGCCTGTTCTTCTCAAGGTGCTTGTCTGCTGCCCAGGTCAGAGCAGCCTTCGCAGTTCATCTCAAGGAACCACCTGACCCCTTCTCCACTCATGGAATCCCCACTGGGATCTCAAAGTTTCCCCCAGGCCCTTGCTCAGGGTCTCTAGAATATTTCTGAGCTTCTGTTTTCCTCTCCAGGTGCAGCCTTTTCAGCTCTAAGGCTGGGCCAGAGGCGCCTGGAAAGGGTCAGGGCAGCCCACACTCTGCATCTCAGGAATATCAGCCCATCTCTCCTGGAGCTTGGAACATGGCCATGATGCTTGAAGACCCTTTCCCTGTCATCAGCAGTAATGAAGGAATTCTCCCCAAGTTCTACTGAGGTATTCTGGTGAACATAGCAAGGCACAAAGCAGGGAGCTCCTCAGCTGCTGCTGTGGACCTAAAGAGGCACCTGGGACTGTTGCAGGGTGACTGACCTTGCCTGGCTTGCAGAGGAAGACCTGACTCCTCTGGTTCTCCTAGGGATTCCAGGCTGATGGGAATCCCTGGGAGAGGTTCCCGGGCAGGGGCCTTCCCTTTCCAAGCTCCCCTGGCCCAGCCTGAAAGCTGACAAGCTGCACCTGGGATGCGATAAGTCTGTTTTCTGTCTGAGTCAGATCACTTCTTGCCCTACCAGGGGCTGCTCCTTTTTTCCTCTAATAAGGATCTGAGGAGAGGGTCACCCTCAGAGCAGAGAGTTGATGCTAGGGAGGTGCTCGTAGCACCCTGGGAGTAGGGGACGTTCTTGGGACTTGTTGCAGGCTGGACAGAGCCAGAGGAACTAAGGGAAAGAGCAAAGCCAAGTCAGGGAGTGAGTGGCCAGAGGAGCTTCTGAGGCTGGAATAAGGGAGAAGGAGGGAAGTGGCAGCAGGGCAGGGGCCAGGTTCTCTGGCTCTCACAGAGCCATGTCCCTGAACGGCTGCAGACTTGTGTCTGAGACCCTGGGGGGACTGGGGCCTGGATATGACACTGTGAGTTCCCAAGGCCGTTTGTGTGCCCTGGTCTGCATGAGGTTCCAGGGGCTGCCCCACCGTGCCCCAGGAGCACAGAGTCAGGCCAGTGAGGAGTCCTGGGGAGGGAGAGTAGGTGGTGAGTGTCCATCCTGAATGCAAAGACAAGGGACAGGTCAGAGGGAAGCAGGCTTGGCGTGTGGCCAGGGGAAGGGATGCTCTCTGAAAATTGTGCATTTCTGTCTCCTCACTCATCACAGCCTCGTGGAACAGGGAGGATTAGGCTTTTCAGGAGGGAATGAGGCAGAACGGTGTCGGGCCCAGAGTCCCTGTCATCCAAGAGACCCCAAATCTCCTCCTGCAAGCCAGAAGAATGTCTTGGGGCATGGAAGTCAAACCAGGGCCCATCAGCCTGCCCAGCACCTCCCTGTGGAAGGAGAAGGTGCACATTGATTCTTGGTCAGAAAAATCCTGCCACGTCCAGTGCTGAGGAGCATCACGAGGCCCTGGAGGGGAGACTCTGGGTCAAGTTTTCAAGGAATATTCTGGCACATTGGACCCCCCAACACGCAGTGCCTTCCTCTCCCTCCTTTCCCCTTGATTCATTCAAAAACCTTTACTGAGTGCCTGGGATGTGCCATCTACTATTCTCGGTGCTACTGACAAAGACAAACAAAAAGCAAAGAATCTGGAAAATGAACCCAACACAGTACACGTGGCTCAGCACTGCAGCCCAGGTCAGAAAAAAATGACTGTGCAAGATGAAATGTGCAGAGTGATCTTAATAATCCATGGGGAAAATGACAGATGTCCTATGTCCTTTAATCACTTTTTGTTGAAGATGAAGAACTCTCACTGCTGAATATAAACAGACAGGTAAGTGGAAAACATTAGTAAAACTAATGTTTATTAAGTGCAATGCGATTCAAAACACTGAGAATCCAAGGGCTTTATTTCTTTGAAACAACTTGCCAGGGCAGTTTGAACAGTGATCATCTTCCTCCTGGGCACAGCACTGCAGAGGCAGCTGGTGTCTTCTCCCCCTTGGAGAATTCTCCTAATTTCTTTAAGTTGGGGTGGGCCAGGGAGTCTGGAGGAGTTTGTTCAGCTTGGGTTGGGGGTGCAGGAGGAGTTGGTGGAGTGCCTGTGGCCACACCCCTGGCCTCTGGGATCAGGAGGAGACAGTGGGGCCAGGACCCAACCCCTGGTCTGTGCTTCAGGTGATCCCTCTCTCTCCTTTGGATGTGGGGTTTGGGAGCAGGTTAGGGGTCCTCGCCCATCCCCACTGGCTCTTCTAGGGAAGATACATCTGTGGGACCTGCAGGTGGCCCTGTGCAGGAAGGGATCCCAGAACCCACACAGGCCCATTTAGAGCAAGGTTTCCTCCTGCAGACAGCAGGAACCCTGAGCCTCTTCACAGCTCCCAGAGCCTGGGGTTGGGGACCCACTTGGAGGCAAATGCATGGAGCTTTGGCAAAGGCAGGGCTGCAGGAAGGAAAGGATGCAGGGGTCCCTGGAAGCTCCAGGGCCAGAGGAACTTGACAGTAGGGGAGGCATCACTGGGAGAAAGGTCCAGGGCTCCTTCCATGCCCTGAGGTCCCAGCAGGTTTTCCTCTCTCCCAACTCCTCCCTGGGCTCTTGCATCTGGGAGTCAGGGCTGGCTCAGCAGGAGCCCTGTGGGGGAGTGGGAAGGACATAAGGCCTCAGGATCTTGAGTTCAACTTTTCACATCAACCTCAAATGAAGGATTTTACCAAGTGCCCTCCTGTCCACAGATCCCAAGTCTTCTTGCTGAACTCATGGGAGATTTGTCCTACCAGGGATATGGGGGTTTTACTTTTCTCTGCTATGTGGCCAGCTCATCCTGGAGAGCTGTGACTTTCTAGGTGGTCACACACATACACACATACATACCATGAGGTCATTGCAGCAATGCCCACTGGGCCTGGGGTTCTCCCATAGCTCCCAGCTGATAAAAGCCTCCTTTCTACTCATTTGGGACCTGGGGTCATCGGCCTCCTTCTGTCTCATTTCACCCAACATTTGTCCTAGTCCCTGCCAAAGTGCTGTTTATTTTAATGCTTTGTAATAAAATTCCACAGTCAGAGGCTTGTGTGAGAGCTGGGGTCCAGAGCATCAGGTCTAATGTTTACTATGTTTATTTTCACTGCACAATCTGTTATTCCAAAGAAATTTTACAAATAAAATAGAAACACACGATCTGCCAGCATTACTCTGATACCAAAACCAGACAAGGATACAACCAAAAAAGAAAACTACAGGCCAGTATCCCTGATCAACACACATGCAAACATCCTCTAAAAATACTAGCTATCCAAAATCAGTAACACATTAAAAAGGTCATTTACACTCATCAAGTAAGACTCATCTCAGTGGTGCAAGGATGGTTCAACATATGACAATAAATAAATGTGATTTATCATGTTAGCAGAACCAAGAACCGAAATGATATGATCATTTCAATAGATGCTGAAAAATCATTCAATAAAATCCAACAACTCTTTATGATAAAAGCTTTCCACAAAGTGGGTATAGAGGAACACAATTCAAAATAATGAAGGGCATTTTTGACAGACCCACAGCCAACATCATACTGAATGAGGAAAAATTGAAAGCCTTTCTTCTGAAATCTGGAACAAGACTGGGATGCTCACTTTCACCACTTTTTTTCAACATAATACCGGAAGTCCTGGGCAGAGCAATAAGGCAAGAGAAAGAAATAAAGGACATCCTAGTTGGAAAGGAAGAAGTCAAATTAACCTTGTACACAGATGACATGATCTTATATTTATAAAAACCTAAAGACTTTAACAAAAAGTCTGTTTCAGTAAAATTGTAGGATACAAAGTCAACGTACAAAAGGCAATAGCACTCATATATGCCAACAGCAAACAATCTTAAAGGTTGTTAAAGAAATCAAGAAATCCCTTCCATTATCAATAGCTACAAAGAATATAAAACACCTAGGAATTTATTTAACCACAGATGTGAAAGATTAATACAAGGAAAACTATAAAACATTGGTGAAAGAAATTGAAGAGGATACAAGAAAAAATGGAAGGGTATTTTATGCTCATAGATAGGAAGAATTAATATCGTTAAAATGAAAATGCTACCCAAAGCAATTTACAAATTCAGTGCAATTCCTATCAAAATACCAATGACGTTCTTCACAGAAATAGCAAAAATAATTCCCAAATTTTTAGATGGAACCTCAGCAGACCCTGAATAGCCAAAGCCATCCTGACCAAAAAGAACAAAGCTAAAGGCATCACACTACCTGACTTCCAAATATACTACAAACCTATAGTAACCCAATCAGCATGGTACTGGCATAAAAATAGACATATAAACCAATGAAACAGAATAGCAGATTCAGATATAAATTCACACATTTGCAGCCAACTCATTTTTGACAAAGGCAGTAAGCCCGTATACAACTGGGAAATGACAGTCTCATCTATCAATGGTGCTGGAAAATCTGGATACCCATGTGCAGAATGGAAGTCGATCCCTATCTTTCACTATATACAAAAATCAAGTCAAAGTGGTTTAAAGTCTTGGGCCGGTGCAGTGGCTTATGCCTATAATCCCATCACTTTGTGAGGCTGAGGTGGGCAGATCATGCGGTCAGAAGATTGAGACCATCCTGGCCAACATGGTGAAACCCAGTCTCTACTAAAAATACAAAAATTAGCTGGGCGTGGCAGCATGTGCCTGTAGTCCCAGCTACTCAAGAGGCTGAGGCAGGAGAACTGCTTGAACCCCGGAGGTGGAGGTTGCAGTGAGCCAAGATCACACCACTGCACTCTCCAGCCTGGCAACAAGGCAAGACTCCATCTCAAAAAAGAAAAAAAAAAAAAAAAGCAAAGTGGTTTAAAGTCTTAAATCTAAGACCTGAAATTATGAAGCCAGAAGAAAAACTTGAAAAAATACTCCAAAACATTGACTGGGGCAAACATATTTTGTGTAAGGCTAAGACCTGAAATTATGAAACCAGGAGAAAAACTTGAAAAAATGCTCCAGAACATTGGCTGTGGCGGAGATATTTTCTGCAAGCCCTCAAAAGCGTAGGCAACCAAAGGAAAAATAGACAAATGGGATTACATCAAGCTAAAAAGCTTCTTCTGCACAGCAACAGAAACAATCAAAGTGAAGAGATAACCCACAGAATGGGAGAACATTTTTACAAGCTATCCATCTGACAAGGCATTAATAACTAGAATATGCAAGGAGCTCAAACAAGTCAATGGGAAAAAATCAAATGATCCAATCCAATTTTTAAATGAGCAAAAGTTCTCAAAAGATGGCATAAAAATGGCCAACAGACATATGAAAAAATGCTCAATATCACTAATCATCAGAGAAATGCAAATCAGAACCACAATGACATGTCATCTTATCCCAGTTAGAATGGCTTTTATCAAAATGACAAGAAATAACAGATGCCCATGAGTATATGGAGAAAGGAGAACTCTTGTACCTTGTTGATGGAAATGTAAATTAATTAGTAAAGCCCATATAGAAACTGCATTGAGGTTCTCCAAAATCTAAAACTACCATATGATCCAGCAACCCCACTACTGGGCATATATCCAAAAGAAAGAAAATCAGTATATCCAAGAGATGCCTGCACGACCATGTTTATTGCAGTACTATTTACAATATCCAAAACATGAAATCAACTTAAGTGTCCATGAATGTATTAATGGATAAAGAAAATGTAGTACATATAGCTATGCAATGAAATATTCAGCCATTAAAAATGAAATGTTGTCATTTTCAGCAATATGGATGGAACTGGAGGTCATTATGTTCAAATAATCATACGTAAAATAATGTCATTATGTAAAATAATCCAAGCACAGAAAGACAAATAACGCATGTTCTCATGCGTTATACATGGGAGCTTAAAAAGTGGATATCATGATGATAGAGAATAAGGTGGTGGTTACCAGAGAGGGGAAAGAGTTGGGTGAGGGGGATGGGTGAATAGAGGTTGGCTGATGGATACAAATATACACTTAAAAGAAATAAGAACTGGAGTTTGATAGATCAGTGTGGATACTATAGTTAACATTAGGTGTACATTTCTTTTTTTTTTTTTTTTTTTTTTTTTTGAGACAGAGTCTCACTGTGTCACCCAGGCTGGAGTGCAGTAGCGTGATCTCGGCTCACTGCAAGCACCACCTCCTGGGTTCATGCCATTCTCCTGCCTCAGCCTCCCGAGTAGCTGGGACTAGAGGCGCCCGCCACCACGCTCAGCTAATTTTTTTTTTTTTGTATTTTTGGTAGAGACGGGGTTTCACCATGTTAGCCAGGATGGTCTCGATCTAGACCTCATGATCCACCCATCTCGGCCTCCCAAAGTGCTGGGATTACAGGCGTGAGCCACCGCGCCTGACCTGGTGTACGTTTCAAAATAGCTAGAAGAGAATAATTGGAATGTTCCTAGTGTAAAGAAAAGAAATATTTAAGGTGGTGGATATCCCAATTATTCTGATTTGATTATATAAATGTATCATATGGTCACATGTATCATATGGTCAAATGTATCATATGGTCACATGTATCTCAAAAGTATGTACAACTATTACGTATCAACAAAAATAAATTAATTAAAAAACAAAAAAGAATTAGACTAGCTCAGCCTAGTGGCGTGGTTGCCAAAGTTCAGTCCCCAGGCCAGCAGCACCAGCTTCCCATGGGAACTCATTAAAATTCCAGCTTGTCAGCCCCACCTGAGACCTTCTAATTCCGAAGCTCAGGGGATGGGCCTAGCATCTGTGTTTCAACAAGCCCCCCAGGTGAAGCTAATGTGGCTCACTGGTTGGGTTTGAGAACCACTGGTTGGGTTGAAGCAGGACTGTAGGAAATAGACTCTCACCTGCTTGATATTGCTTTGGGAACAGCTGGGGAGAGCCTCCGCCCTGGTCAACTGGAGCCTCTGCTATTGGTTGTGCACCCCATCTTGTGTAACTGGTTGCATCGTGGACCTTGAAAACAATACTCCTGCTCAAGAGTTTCTAGTCACTCTCACATTCACAGTGACTTTTTAATACGTGTGGATGGAAGGTGAAGCAGTGCTGACCAGGTGAGGGCAGTCACAGTCTGTGGCCCTCATCGGATTCCCCCTGCCCCTGCCCCTTGACCATCCCAGCTGCCTGGAAAGGACCAGATTCATTGGGGGTGGGGGGAGGGGTCAGTGACTGAGCAGGTGTCAAGTGCACAGAACTCTTCTCTCCTCGTCCCTTCTAGAATGTCCATATCCTCATTCTGGAATCTGTGACTATGTTAGTTAAGATTCAGAAGGAATTTTATAGGTGTGATTAAATTAAGGATCTTGAGAAAGGGGTTATCTTGGCTTATCCAGGGAGCGCAGTGTGGTCACAAGGATCCTTGTAAGGGGAGACAGAGAGGAAGGAAGGCTACACTGCTGGCTCTCGACAAGCTGATGGCGCCATAAGATGGGAGCGGTGATGTGCCCTAGAAGCTGGAAAAGACAAGGGAACAATTTGCCCCAGACCCTCTAGAAGCAACGCAGCCCTGGGGACCACTGTAGACTCTTACCCATAAGAGAACTGCAAGAGGATAAATGTGTGTTGTTTTAAAGCACTGAGCTTGTGATATTCTGAATAAATGTGCATTTATTCACATTTATAATAAGAACTGTCAAATAAACATGTGTTGCTTTAGGGCACTGAGTTTGTGGTATTTTGTTCCAGCAGCAATAGGAGACCAATGCATGGTCTTTCTGGACTTTTAAGGAATTTGCTCAGCTTCTTCCCAAGTCAGAGACTTCAAACGTGTTGCCCCCATGGCCCAAGCCACCCTCTCTTCCCTCCCAACCTGTCCCTTCAGCTGGGTAATCTCCCTCAGCTTTCTGGCCTTGACCTACCTGATTCTCCCTGGCCCTACCTAGGCAGGCCAGGTCTTCATTCATCATCCGTCAACCCCTGCCCGTTGCTCTCATGACATCCTTTACTTTCGCACAAGCTTGTCCAACCCTCCGCCTGCAGGCTGAATGTGGCCCAACATAAATTTGTAAACTTACTTAAAACATTATGGGGTTTTTTTACGCGATTTTTTTTTTAGCTCATCAGCTACCGTTAGTGTAAGTTTGTTGTTGTTGTTGTTGTTTTTGGGATGGAGTCTCACTCTGTCACCAAGGCTGGAGTGCAGTGGTACCATCTGGTCTCACTGAAACCTCCGCCTCCTGGGTTCAAGCGATTCTGCTGCCTCAGCCTCTGGAGTAGCTGGGATTCCAGGCATGAACCACTATGCCAGCTCATTTTTGTATTTTTAATAGAGACAGTGTTTCACTGTGCTAGACAGGCTAGTCACAAACTCCTGACCTCAGGTGATCCGCCCATATAGGCCTCCCAAAGTGCTGGAATTACAGGCATGAGCCACTGCGCCCAGCCCCTGTTCATTTTTTTATGTGTGGCCCAAGACAATTCTTCTTCCAATGTAGCCCAGGGAAGCCAAAAGATTAGACGCCCCTGCTTAGCATATCCTGGGTCTCCCTCACTCCTCGCAATCCATCGCTGTCCCCCAGGGCCTCCAGCTGCAGCACCTCTCTGTCCTGCAGCCATTTACCTCATGCTCCTCCCTGACTGCTGGACTGAGGCTCTGTGAGGTCAGGGCCTGGCCCAGACATGGCTCAATGGATGCTCAATAGAAAGGCTGGATGTTGGAGGTGTGAGGACAGCCAGCTCCACTCCATCCCACAGCTGTCTCCTGCAGCAACCTTTCTGCACCCCCTGGCTCCTCCTCCTGTCATTCATTCATTCAACTCATTTGTTCAACTCCTGTCATCCACTCATCCAACAAACATAGAGGACTTAGCCTGTGTCAGGCTCTGACTTTCAGTTGGGATGGAAGACAGCGTCCTTACATGGACACTTGGATGACTAAGGAAGGAACTTAGTAGGTGCCAAAGTGACCCTAAGGTAGGTGCAACCTTTCTGCACCCCCTGGCTCCTCCTCCTGTCATTCATTCATTCAACTCATTTGTTCAACTCCTGTCATTCACTCATCCAACAAACATAGAGGACTTAGCCTGTGTCAGGCTCTGACTTTCAGTTGGGATGGAAGACAGCGTCCTTACATGGACACTTGGATGACTAAGGAAGGAACTTAGTAGGTGCCAAAGTGACCCTAAGGTAGGTGGCCTGAGGCCAGCAGGTATCCTGTGAAAACAATGGCAGAGACTCAGGCTCCCATACTGGGAGTCATATTATTGGTGTGCAGTACAAAATCACTGACAAAACACACCTGTGCCCATGAGCCAAGCATGCAAAGGGCCAAAGGTGTCTGCTGGAATTTCTTCAAAGAGGCAGCTCTGTGCGAGCACTGAGCATGCACACTTGTGGACCCCTGTCCTGGGCGAGGACCATGCCTGAGTTCTTCTGCTAGGAGATCCACCCTCTCTCCCAAATCACTCACCAGAGGTTCTCCCCTCTGCCCAGGCTCATAAAGATTTGAGAGCTCAGCCAGGTGCGGTGGCTCACGCCTGCTAATCCCAGCACTTTGGGAGGCCGAGGCAGGCGGATCACGAGGTCAGGAGTTCGAGACCAGCCTGGCCAACATTGTGAAACCCTGTCTCTACTAAAAATACAAAAATTAGCCAGGCGTAGTGGTGCGCACCTGTAGTCCCAGCTACTCAGGAGGCTGAGGCAAAAGAATCGCTTGAACCCTGGAGGCAGAGGTTGCAGTGAGCTGAGATCGTGCCACGGCACTCCAGCCTGGGCAAGAGAGCGACACTCCGTCTCAAAAAAAAAAACAAAAAAAAAAACACAAAGATTTGCGAGCTCAGAGACAAAGGAAATGCCATGTGTTTTCCCCTTCTTCTGAGCCCCGTGGGGCCAGAGCACGCCTTCCTCTGCCTTGGCAATGACAGACAAGCTGGGGTCCTTCCCCATTGCCAGCTCTGCAGCACTGCCCTCCTGGGAACCACATTCAGTCATTCTGTGGAGTTTTCATGATGGGTTTCATCATCAGATTCATTTCCTCCATGGGAGTAGACTCTTCAGCAAGTCACATTACCTCTCCGGGCCTCAGTTTCCCCTCTTGTGAAACAACAGGGTAGAACTTAAGGGCCCTTCCTGTTTTCTCTGACAGTCTGAATCTGTCTTGTGCACGTACATAGCCCTGCAATAGTGTCAAAGATCTTTAATTGTTGGATGGAAAAGAAAGGAACCTGTGGGTTTTGAGGGGGGACAGGTACCGCCAAATGCAGATGATGATTCTGAGAGCACCTTTGACGGGCCAGATCTCGTACTCTGAGTTTATCTGCGCCACTTGTTGTCTGGCAAGTCCAGTGATGCTGTGGTCTCCAGCTGATTCTATCTGAGCTGCTCCTGGGGTGGCAGCTCTCAGAAGTGTGGGAGAGGATGCAGGCGATGGGGAGGGACCGGGACCGCATGCTCCCTCCAGGACATAGCGCACAACGGTGGTCTGGGGTAGGATGAAGTATAAGTGCTCTGCTTCAGGCCAGCCTTGGGTGTGAGCTGTCTCTGCTTGAGCTGCTCATAGAGTCCATAGTTTGTAGGGGGAGCTGCAAGAGAAACCAGGGTCCAGTTGAATGGGGCTTACAGAAGGAGTCTTGCTCTAAATGGCCAATGGCCACGAGACTGGGCAGCAGGGGCCCTGGAGATTTTCCCAGGCTGCTCTGTCAGGGACCAAGGCTGGCAGAGGCCCACAGGGAAGAGCCTTGCAGAGAGCATTGGTTCAGCCAGCCCCTGGCGGTCTCAAGGTGCACCTGCATCCCAAGTGCTCAGGGGAGATCAGGCTCTGCCACGGGGGCCTTGGAAAAGTCAGCCCCATGGTGTGGTTGTGCGTGGCCTCGCTGGTCCTGAGTAATTGTCCCACCCCTGTCGGGAAGGAAGCTGTGTGCACTGAGAGTGATGTTGAGAAGAATCCCATGCAAAAGTAATGCAGAGTGACCAGCAGCTCATCCTCTGACCTGTGTCCCTTTGCATCAAAAGGTAGGACCACAAAGAGCTGGCACTGCTCTGTGTCCTCACTAGTGTGGACGTGGCTTGAAATGTAAATCACATCAAGGCACTCTCCTACAAAAGTGCATTCCAAGTCTTGGGATTGTGGATAGGACAAATTTCATTCCCTTCACTGTGCCCTATGAACCCCTACATGATCCTCCTCCATTCCTGCCTTAGAACTTTTTCATTTACTGTTCCTTCCTCTGGAATGTCCTCCCCCTCAATCCCTGTATGGCTCCCTTCTTCCCAATTCAACTCTATCTCCTCAACAAAGACCACCCCTCACTTTTCCAAGGAGGAATTTGTGAACCAAAGGAGGTTCACAAATTCACCACCTCACTTTCTCTCCATTACCTGTTTTCTTTATAGCGCACACTCCTGTCTAAAATTATCTATGTGATCTTAAGTGTTCTTACTTTTTAATGGTGTCTTATCTGTTTCCCCCCTGGAATGTCAACTCCCCGAGTCCAGAAATTCCTCAGTGTTTGTTATCATTGCAGCAGGGAGCACTACCTGGGAAATATTGTCATTATTCATGTAGTAAATAAGACTGGGAGGAAGGATGCGTGGATGTTGCTCCCTGCCACCTGTGCTCTAAGCCCGCCACCATGGGGCACAGGTGATGGCTTCATTACACAGCCAAGATTACCCCAGGTCAAAGGGAAAGGACAGGAGGCAGCCCTGAGGGTACAATAGAACTCAGCCCCTACTATGTCATCCGCTGCTCTCCTGGAGCCAGGGTCACCTGTGTGGCTCCTTCTGCATGAGGCAGGTACAGCTCCGTTGGTCTGTGCAACTTTACAGACCAACGCAGAGGAATACCCTGAATTATAAAGGTACCAAGAAGGGGAAAGTCAGACTTCTCTGGCAGCCACAGCAACTTCTGTCCATTCCAAGTGCGGAGTGGAGGCAGCCCCGGGTTGTAACCATGCCGGTTGTAATGGTCGTCATAGGTGCTGATCAGGTAGCGATGTGGGGGCTCCTGGTGGTGGGTGATCAGGTGTTTGTAAGGTAGCCCCTGGAAGGACAGACACAGTGGGCTCGTTACTGATAGGAGCGAAGCATCCACCTGGCCATGGTGGAGACAGGAGCTGCCACATGTAGGGGTCTGTGGTGCTGATGGAGAGAGCGGGCATCCGTGGGCTGGCAAAGGGTCTTCAGAAACACACTTGTTTATCCCACTCTGAGGCATCCCACATTCAAACACATCCCAGCTGGCTGCAGTTAGTTCTCTGTATGGCCGGTCCCATGCCAAGTCAATTCATTCCTAGAATGAGCTATGGTGGCACATTAAAATTAAAGCCAGGACATCCTGCTGAATGGGAAGAGTCAGCACCACCTCACTTGTGATCTGAAATTGCAGCCTGATTTGTCTCAAGTCTCATGAATCCAAGCCTGTTCCTAAGGGCAAGGACAAGATGGTGAAAGCCAGCCTGACATGTATGCCTTATATTTCAGTCTGTTACTGTGGGAAGAATCAGAGAACACCCCATAAATTGCCTTCTCTTGCACAGGATTTACAGCTTGCTCAGCTGGAAACTAGGGGAGTGATTTCTTTGGTGAGGAGTAATTTACAGTGAGAAGAAAGCCATGTTCTCCTTACTCTGGGATGTTTGCCTGAATCAGTGCTTTTCCTAAGAAAATCCTCTTGGGCCCAGAAGGGAATCCTGGGGATCTGCACTGACTTACAAGGGGGCATAATGTTGATTTCCATGCTTGCCCTCTTGTCTGGAGCAGACAGGGAGGCCTGTGTCTGCTATGGTCTGGAAATGCCGGCTGCACCCAATATTTCAAGTGGTGGCCCCATAAATAAGTCAGATCACAATGCCAGAGGAAGACAAGGGGGGTGGGCACAGACATTAAGCAGGATTCCCAAGATCCACATCACCAGGTACCCCATAGTGTATTTCTAATGCCAAAGTGACTTGGAGGGTTTCCCATCAACAAAGGGAATTGCAGAAGCAGCCTCGTGGCATGGGAGGTAGAGAGGCCAGGAGGAATTTTCTTGCAGTTTCTCTTGATTTGGGGTGTGTCTTTACTGTATGCCTGGGATTTTTCCTTATTAGGGTTTGGGAAAGTGACAGCCACAGAGACAGCTACCTTTGAAAGGAGAGCTTGTTACTTACAGTTCTCAAGAGGAAGGGCACGCCATGCCCTGCAGGGCCACATCAGGAAGAACCAGCATTGGTCTCTGGTCGGGAGGCAGAAGGAACAAGGTGGAGGGGCAGGGCCCAGAGCCTTTACTGTGGTTTCCATGGGAACCATTGGGCGAGGCACGGTGGACAAGTTTAGGACTGGATAGTGTGAATAGTTTTTGTGGGCTCTGGGCCCTAGGGGAGGTCTCTAGTGTCCACTACTTGGCCCTGGGGTGATTTAAGGCAGAGGAAATATTGGCTTGGTATGTGAGAATTAGATAAAGGAGGCGGTTGGGGATACGGGCTTTGGAGTCATTTTTGCCTAACAAGGAAGAGCAAAGTGGGAGTGGGAGATGGAGGAGGAAGCTGTCCTAGGAGAAGGAGGGCAACATGAAGCAAACAGAAGAGCTGACAGAGTTGAAGCAGCTGTGTGGAAGCAGGGTTATGTTCAGGGCCCCATCCCACAAGCAGGCAATTTGAACAGAAACCTTAAAAATAAATATTCAGGGCCAGGTGCCGTGGCTCACGCCTGTAATCCCAGCAGTTTGAGAGGCCAAGGTGGGCAGATTACTTGAGACCAGGAGTTCAGGACTAGCCTGACCAACATGGCAAAACCCTATCTCTACTAAAAATACAAAAAAAATTAGCCAGCTGTGTTGGCACACACCTGTAATCCCAGCTACTTGGAAGGCTGAGGCAAGGAGAATTGTTCCAACCCAGGAGGCTGAGGTTTCAGTGAGCCAACATCACACCACTGCACTCTAGCCTGGGGGACAGAGAGAGACTCTATCTCAAAAAAAAAGAAAAGAAAAAAAGGAAAAAAAAGAAAAAGAAAGAAAAGAAAAGAGAAAAGAAAAGAAAAGAAAAAAAGAAATGAATATTCCATCGTCTGTTCTGTTGGAGATGACAATGCGGGGGGGTGGTGGGTGGAGTTCTTAATTTTAACCAGACTGTATGTTAAACTCTTAGTCAGAGCTTGTAATGGGTCCAAAGGCTATCTAAATGTTCTGCAATGCACTGAAAACTAGGGTCAATACCTCACATACATGGATGGTTAGAGGCTGAGAGCCCCAGATCCTGGGTTCTAACTTTGACTTGTTTATGTTAAAATTCATTTGTGTCTTTAATGCGCACTGCTGGTGAAGCTCAGCAGCCCCAGAGCATCAGCTTGCTTGGAGATGTCAGTGTGGTCTGAGGATGAGGGAGTCATCTGGGGTTGCCAGCACAGAGCTGAAAATCTGTTGCTGCTTATCCTGACATGGATCCCTAAATGCAGAATGCAAATAGGCGACTCTGGCAGATGAGGAATGGAATCTGAGGACACTCTTTGCCTGATTTGCAGAGCAGCAACTTGCTTCATCCCTAACAACAAGCCACACAGCTTTGAAAAAGCCACTTCACACCTCGGGCCGCTGAGCTGAATGAATCTCTTGGGTCCCTCCAAGCACTAAAATGCCCCAATTCCAAAAGATGTCCACTACCTTAATCCATGTCTGTCTGCTGCCACCCTGAGTTGAAGCAGGTATAGTAGGGTCAGGTGGGGTGGGAGTGGGGAGACAGAAATCGCTTATAAGAGCAGCAGGCTGGCAAAAGAAACAACTCAAGGGAACTCCCAGAGTGTGGTGGGGACAGAGCACAGCTGCACACCCAGTGGGTGAGCACCTACAAGCTTGCTCTCCCCAGGCTGTGCCTGCTGGGAGCTACCCACAGGGGTTATTGCAGGAGACGGCTTTCCCTGCTGTTCCTGGAAGGGCCAGGATCTCAGCCTCTGGCACACCAAGTTAATAATTGTCTCCTACATACTCACTAGTGGGATTGCTAAAGATAATAATAGTCTCAAATGCCCCTCCTTGGGTGTGGAGGGCATGTTCTGAGGTTGCAATGCCCTGCTCTCTGCTTCCAACACCTGGAACACCATGATTCCTAGACAAGTGCCCAGTCAATACGGTGTGTGGATGGTGCTTGACTTTTCATGCGAAAGAACAGGAAGCTGGAGCACAGATAATACACAACACTGTTTGTCCAAATACATCACTGCCAGCTGCTTTTGCAGTGCCTTATGTGATTCCTGACTATATGCATCATTTACCTTTGGTTGCTATTTCTTGCATTCTTTGCCTATATTCTGTTGGAAGAGTGTGATCCAGGTGCTGGGATATAGGTTGGAGGGAATGCTACCAGTTTGACATTAAACAGATCATCAGCCCACACAGGTAATTATTGGTTAGTGCTATCTGCAGCCCCCGGGCTGGGAGGGTATTAATGAGACTACTCCTGATTTCCCCCAAGACGGTACTAAGCCTATAAGAAGCTGGCTGGTGTCCCCTGAGCTTTGGGTGGGGTCCAGGCCTGAGTGTCCCAGTTGCCACTCCCTCTTACCTCAACTTTCCTCTTCCCATACCACCTGGAGATCTGGTCTGGTCTGTGGTCTGGGAAGGGGATGTATTCTTTTCTGTAAATGGATTGGGGTGTCTTGTCAGTGTCTCTGGTGAACTGGAAAAGACCAAATATTCAGGAAAACCTCTGAGATGCCACTTCTCAAACTTCTGCTGGGTCCCCTTACCTCCTGGGCCATCAGAAGATGGGTAGGGAAAAGGTAAATATAAACCCCTGGACACCCTGCCCAACACAGGAAAGAGCTTGCTCGGGGACGGGGAGCCTGCCATCCGGCACCCCCGGGAAGAGCTGTCATTGGCTCCCCTGGTCACCTCATCATCCGCACCTGTGTCCTTTCTCATCTTCTCTCTCCCTGCTCTTCTCTCCTCTTTGCCTCCTCCTTTTTTTTTTTGGACATGGAGTCTCACTCTGTCACCAGGCTGGAGTGCAGTGGCGCAATCTCGGCTCACTGCAACCTCTGCCTCTCGGGTTCAAGCAATTCCCCTGTCTCAGCCTCCTGAGTAGCTGGGATTACAGGCATGGGCCGCCATGCCCAGCTAATTTTTGTATTTTCAGAAGAGAGGGCGTTTTGCCATGTTGGCTAGGATGGTCTCGATCTCTCAACCTTGTGATCCACGTGCCTCGGCCTCCCAAAGTGCTGGGATTACAGGCATGAGCCACTGTGCCCGGCCCTCCCTTTCTTTCTCTTCTTTGTTCCTCATTCTTTCCAACTCTCTCACCTTTCAAATTACATTTTGTTCTCTAATTAGTTTTCTTAAAGTTTAATATGGTAAAATATATTCAACATAAAATGTATTTACCATTTTAGCCATTTTCAACTCTACGGTTCAGTGACATTCACGCTGTTGTGCAATCATCACCACCATCCATCTCTAGAACTTTACTTACATTGCAAAACTGAAACTCTGTGACCGTTAAGCACCAACTCTCCATTCTCCTGTCACTGCAGCCCCTTGCTACCATCACTCTACTTTCTCTGTATGAACTTGCCTGTTACAGGCACCCTATGTAAGTAGAATCACACAATGTTTGTCCTTCTGTGTCTGTCTTAGCTCACTTAGTATAATGTCTTCCAAATTCATCCATTTGATAGCATGTGTCAGAATCTTCTTCCTTTTTAAGGTTTGATTATATTCCATGATACACTTACACCATGTTTTGTTTATCCATTCATCCATCAGTGGGTACTTGGGTTGCATCCAACTTTTGGTTACTGTGAATAGTTACTATTAATGTGAATGTACAAATATCTTTTTGAGTCCCTGCTTTCGATTCTTTTAGGCATACAACCAGAAGTGTAATTGCTGGATCATATGGTAATTCTATGTCTAATTTTTTTTGGGAACTCCCATATTGTTTTCCACAGTGGCAGTACCATTTAGGGCACAAGGGTGCCCATTTCTTCATATCCTCACCAACACTTGATATTTTCTGTTTTTTGATACTAGCCATACTAAAGGGTGAAGTGGTATCTCATTGTAATTTTGATTTGGATTTCCCTAATAATCAGTGAGGTTGACTATGTTTATGTGTTTATTGGCCATTTGTACATCTTCTTTGGAGAAATACCTATTCAGCTCCTTTGTCATTTTTTAATCAGGTTGCTTGTCTTTGGCTATTGTTGAGTTATAGAAGTCCTTTACATATTCTGGATATTAGTCCCTTATCAGATATATGATTTGCAAATATTCTCTCCTACTCCATTGGTTGTCATTTACTCTGTTGTTAGTGTCCTTTGAGGCACAAAGTTTTTTGTTTTGATGACGTCCAGTTTATTATTTTTTTCTTGTGTTGCCTGTGCTTTTGGTGTCACATCAAGAAATTCTTGCTAAAGCCAATGTCATGAGAATTTTCCCCGATGTTTTCTTCTTTTTTTATTTAATTAAAAAAAAAGAGAGAGATAAGTTCTTGCTGTGTCGCCTAGGCTGGTCTTGAACTCCTTTCCTCAAGCAGTCCTCCTGCCTCAGACTCTCAAAGTGCTGGGATTACTGGCATGAGTCACCACACCCAGCCCCCTATGTTTTCTTCTAAGAGTTTTGTAGTTTTAGGTCTCATCCAGGTCTCTGATCCACTTTGAGTTCAGTTTTGTATATGGAATTAGGGAAGGGTCTAACTTTATTTTTTCGCACCTAGATATCCACTTTACTGAACACCATTTATTGAAGAAATTGTCCTTTCCCCCATTGAACAGGTTTAGCATCCTCGTCAAGAGTCATTTGACCGTATATACAAATGTTTATTTCTAGGCTCTCTCTTTTGTTCTATAGGTCTATGTATCTATCTGTATGCCAGTATCACACTGTCTTGATTACTGTAGCTTTTAGTAAGTTTTGAAACTGAGACATGTGAGTCTTCCAATTTTGTTCTTTTTTTCAAGATTGTTTTGGCCATTTGGAGTCTCTTGAGATTTTATATGAATTTTAGGATGGATTTTATGTCTGCAAAAAAAAAAAACCTTTACTGGGGTTTTGATAATGATTGCATTGAATCTGTAGATAGCTTTGTGTAGTATTGATATCTTAACAATATTAAGTCTTCCATCCATGAACACAGGGTGTCATTCCATTTATTTATGTCCTCTTTATATTTTTCAGCAGTGTTTTGTAGTGTTCAATGTATATAAGTCTTTCATCTCCTTGGTTAAGTCTACTCTTAAATACTTTATTTTTTGATGTTACTGTAAATGGAATTTTCTTAATTTCCTTTTCAGAGTTCACTGTTAGTGTTTACAAACACAATCAACTTTTGCATACTTTGCTTAACTCATTTATTAGTTCTAACAGTTTGTGTATGGGTGCATGTGTGTGTGTTTCCTATATATAAAATCATTAGAGGTTTCCTGTATATAAAATCATGCCATCTGCGAAAAGAGAGAAAATTTTACATTTTCCTTTCCAATTTGGAAGCTTTTCCTTTTCTTTCCTAATTTTTCTGGCTAGAACTTCCAGCACTATGTTGAACAAAAGTGGAAAAGGCTGGCATTTTTGTCTTATTCCTAATCTTAAAGGAAAAGCTTTCAATCTTTCACCATTGGGTATTATGTTAGCTGTGGGTTTTTGTTACTATGTTGAGGCAGTTTCCTTCTATGCCTAGTTTGTCAAATGCTTTTCTTTATAAAAAGAAGTTTAATTTTGCACAATGCTTTTTCTACATTGTGATGATCATGTCTTTTTTTCCTTCATTCTAGTATATTGGTTAATTTTTATATATTAATTTTTTTTTTTTTTTTTTTTTTTTTTTAGACAGAGTCGGCCAGGCTGAAGTGCAGTGGTGAGATCTTGGCTCACTGCAACCTCCACCTCTCAGGTTCAAGCAATTTTCAAGCTGGGACTACAGGCACATGCCACTATGCCCAGCTAATTTTTGTATTTTTTGTAGGGACAAGGTTTCATCATGTTGGCCAGGCTGGTCTCAAACTCATGACCTCAACTGATCTGCCTGCCTTGGCTTCCCAAAGTGCTGGGACTACAGGCATGAGCCACTATGCCCAGCCCTGAACCATTCTTGCATTCCAGGAAGGAATCTCACTTGGTCATGGTGTCTATAACCCTTTTAATATAATATTGAATGGGGGTTTCTACTATTTGCTTGAGGATTTTTGCATCAATATTCATAAGGAATATTGGTTTGTAGTTTTCTTTTCTTGTGATGTCTTCGCCTTTAGTATCAGGGTAATGCTGAGCTCATAAAATTAGTTAGAATTTATTTCTTCCTCTTCAATATTCTGGAAGCATTTGAGAAGGACTGATGTTAATTCTTTTCAAAATATTTGTTAGAATTCACCACTGAAGTCATTTGGTCTTAGGCTTTCCTTTGTTGGGAGATTTTTGGTTACTAATTCAATCTCTTCACTAGTTATAGATCTATTCAGATTTTCTATTTCTTTATAATTCAGTCTCGATAGATTGTATATTTCTTGGAATTTCTCCATTTCATGGAGAATTATATAAATATTCCAATTGTTAGCATAAATTGTTCACAGTATTCTCTTATTATCTTTTTATGTCAGAAAAAAGTTGGTAATTATTTTACACTTTCATTTCTAATTTTAGTTACTTGCATCTCTTCTCTTTTTTTCCGTTAGTCAATATAGATAATCATTTGTAAATTTTATTGATTTTTCAAAAAACCAATTTGGTTTTCTCTTTGTTTGCTTGCTTGTTTGTTTAGAGATGGAGTCTCGGTCTGTCACCCAGGTTGGAGTGCAGTGGTATAATCTCGGCTCACTGAAACCTCCGCCTCCCAGGTTCAAGCAATTCTCCTGCCTCAGTCTCCCTAGTAGTTGGAATTACAGGCATGCACCACGACACCCAGCTAATTTTTGTATTTTTGGTAGAGACGGGATTTCGCCATGTTGGCCAGGCTGGTCTCAAACTCCTGACCTCAGATGATCCACCCACCTCGGCCTCCCAAAGTGCTGGGATTACAGGCATGAGCCACCGCGCCCGGTCCCAACTCGGTTTTATTGATTTTTTCTGTTGTTTTCCTATTTCCTATTTTACTTATCTCTTCTCTAAATATTTAATTTCCTTCCTTCTGCTAGCTTTGCATTTAGTTTGTTCTTTTTTTTCTGTTTTCTTAAAGTGTAAAGCTAGGTTTCTAATTTGAGATATTTCTTCTTTTTTAATGTGTTTACAGCTGTAAATTTCCCTCTTAACAGTACTTTCACTACCTCCCATAAGTTTTGGTATGTTGTATTTTCATTACTATTTTTTAATTTTTCTGTGATTTTTCTCTTTACTGATTTTTTTTAAAACAGTGTTGTTTAATTTCCACATATTGGTGGATTTTTCAGTATTTCTTCTGCTATTAATCGTTAAGTTCATTTCATTTGTGATCAGGAAAGATACTTTGTATGATTTTAATCTTTATAATTTATTAAAACTTGTTTTGTAGTCTAACATATGGTATATCCTGGAGAATATTCCATATGTACTTGAGAAAAAAAAAACACACGTATTCTGCCTTTGTTGGGTGGAGTGCCTATCAGGTCCAATTGATCTATAGGGTTGTTCTACTATTACTGTAGAGCCATCTATTTCTCCCTTCAATTCTGTCCATTTTTGCTTCATTTATTTCAGAGCTCTAATATTTGGTGTGTACATGTGTGTAACTATTGTACCTTCTTCTTGGTGAATTGGCCCTTTTATCAATATATAGTGTCCCTCTTTGTCTCATAATAGTTTTTAACCTAAAGCCTACTTCGTCTGATACTAGCCATACCTGCTCCCTTCTGGCACTATTTGCACAAAATATCTTTTTGCTTCCTTTCACTTTCAACTTACATGTGTACTTCAATCTATAGTCACTCTCTTGTAGGCAGCATATAGTTGGATCCTGTTTTATAAATCTCTCTGCTAATGTATGCCTTTCATTTGGAAGTTTAATCCATTTACATTTAAAAGTGATTACTGATAGGGAAGGACTTATATTTGCCATTTTAGTATTTGTTTTCTGTATGTCTTGTAGATTTTTGCCCCTTATTTGTTCTCTTACTATCTTCTTTTGTGTTTAATTTTTGAGGGCCACATTTTGATTCCCTTATTATTTTCTTTTGTGAATATTTTATAGGCATTTTCTTTGTGGGTCCCATGGGGATTATACACAATATCCTACAGTTATAACAACATATTTTAAATTGCGACCAACTGAAATTGTATACCAAAACTCTACTCTTTTATAGCTCTGCCTCCCTCTGCTTTATGTTATTGAAGGCACAAATTACATCTTTATATAATGCAGACTCATTTACATAGATTTATAATTTTATGCATTTGTCTTCTAAATTCTGTCAAAAATAAAGAGTAGAGTTACATCCCAAAATTATAATAATCCTGGCTTTTAAGTTTGTCTACATATTTACCTTTACTGGAGAACTTTATATTTTTGCACAGCTTCAAGTTACTGTCTAATGTCCTTTTGTTTCAACTTGAAGGATTCTCTTTAGTCTTCCTTGCAAGGTAGGTCTACTGTCAATAAACACCCTCAGCTTTTGTTTATCTGGGAATGTCTTAACATCTCCCTCTTTTTCAAGAGACAATTTTGTGGAATACAGAATTATCAGATAACAGTATTTTTTTTACCAGCACTTTAAATGTATTATCCCACTGCCTTCCAGGCTCCAAGGTTTCTGCTGAGAAAATCCCTAATAATCTGTTTTTGTTTTTTTGTGTTTTTTTAAGACAGGGCCTCACTCTCACTCTGTTTCCCAGGCTGGAGTGCAGTGGCATGATTTCGGCTCACTAGAACCTCCACCTCCCAGGCTCAGGTGATCCTCCCACCTCAGCCTCCTGAGTAGCTAGGACTATTGGCATATACCACTGTGCCCAGCTAATTTGTATATCTTTTGTAGACATAGGGTTTTACCATGTTGCCCAGCTGGTCTCGAACTCCTGGGCTCAAGCAATCTACCTGCCTTATCCTCCCAAAGTGCTGAGATTCAGGCATGAGCCACCACATCTGTCAATCCCATAACAATCTCACTGAGGAGCCATTGTTCTTGATGAGTTACTTTTCTCCTAGTGCTCTCAAGATTCTCTCTTTGTTTTTGGGTTTCAATATCTTAATTATAAAGTGCTTCAATGAGGGTCTCTTTAGATTTTTTATACTTGGAGTTCATTGAACTTCTTGGATTTGTAGATTTATGTATTTACTCAAATTTGGGAAGATTTTAATCACTATTTTTTCAAATACTCTTTTAGCCCCTTTCTCTCTCTCTTCTCCTTATGGAATTCCCTTAATGCATGTATTAATCTGCTTCATAGTGTCCCATAAGTCCCTTAGGCTCTGTTCACTGCCTTTAAATTTGCTGATTCTTTCTCCTGCCTATTCAAATCTGCTGCTGAATCCCTCTATTGAATTTTTCAATTCAGTTATTGCATTTTTCAGCTCTAAAACTGGTTTGACTCCTTTTTATAATTTCAATCTCCTTTTTAATATTCTCATTTTGCTCATGTATTGTTTTCCTGATTTACTTTAGTTCTTTGTGTCCTTTACCTATTTGTCCATATTTAAGATGGTTGTTTTAAAGTATTTGACTAGTACCTTGATGCTTGTGTTTATTCTCTCACTTTATTTTCTTCCTTTGGATGGGCCACTTTTTTTTTCTGTATCTTCATACGTCTGGTGATTTTTCGTTGAAAATTGGGCGTTTGAAAAGCAGCCAAATCTTCCAGTATTTGTAGACTGACTCTGTGCAGGGAAGACCTTTTCTAACTAGCAGGTAATGTTCTGAGTCTTGGGGTCAGCCCAACATGAAGGCTTAAAATATTCTCAACTCTTTTCTGGTGTACATCTTGCCTGGACCTGTGTGTGGTTTTTTTTTTTTTTTTTTTAATTCCCCTACATACACAGCTGCTTTTAAATGTTTTAATTTCCAAAAAAAAGTCTCACCCCTGCTTCTTCTTCGACTTCAGATGTTCTATTGTATTCCTCTATCCATAATCTCTTGCCCCAGATATTTATAGATCTGTAATCCCCTGGCAGCTTTCACTAGCTGTGCCTATCATTGCTTTCCATGGCTTTTCCCAGCTGAGATCTGAACCATGCCACCTTTTCCCATCTGAGCTCCAAGTTAGACGAAATAGAGAGCAATCCCTCAGGCAGCCCCAGACAGGTTCAAATGTTGCTCCACTCACTCTGGATTTGAAAGAGGGAACTTGGAGCCGAGCTGCCACTTACCCTAAAATGCAGACTATGCTGTGCTGTGCTGGGGTGGTAGTAGGAGAGGACAAGTAAAAACATCATGGAATTTCCTATTCATTTTGAATGTGTCTTTTTCTTGATTGGGCATTTGATTTGTCGCTATATATCTTTGACTGTTTTCCAGAGCTCCTATAACGTTTTTGTGCTTTTTTCTTTAATGTTTCCATGGGGAATGAGAACCTGGAGCTTCTTAGTCTGCTACCTTGTTGACATCACTCCAACTCCACTATTTTTATGCAATCTTCTCTAGGTGTGAGACCATCCCATAATATCCCTGAGTACTGCATCACCCATGGGCACCTGAAGGTATTTTCAACCAGTCCTTCTTGCTTTTGGAACTTCTCTTGCACACACCTGCTCACCAAACAAGGCCAAGTACATTTGTAGCTGATGATGACTGAAGGTTGTATCTGGCCAGAGAGGTGGTGATTACTAATGTTCTCCAGGAAAACAGCCTTTAACCTTCCCTTCTTTTCCCCATACCAAAGCTGAGTATTCTATTTCACCTTCTTTTCCTTGCCCACTTCCCAAGAAGACATGGGGAAGTCTAGATGTCTCTGAAAAGCTTTAAGTGGCTCAGTCTTGCCAAACACAAATGAAGATATTCAATTTCAAGTATGCCAACTTGAAACTTTGCCAACTCAGGCAAAGTATTTTCCAAAGACCTTTAAAACACAGTGGAAAACCAAGAGCCAAATTGTTCTGTTTGAAAGCAAAAATTGAGGCCAGGCACAGTGGCTCATGCCTGTAACCCCAGCACTTGGGGAAGCCAAGGTCGGCACATCACTTGAGCTCAGGAGTTCAAGACCAGCCTGGCCAACATGGTGAAGCCCCATCTCTACTAAAAATACAAAAAATTAGCTGGGCATGGTGGCATGCACTTGTAGTCCCAGCTACTTGGGAGGCTGAGGCAAGAGAATCGCTTGAGCCTGGGAGGTGAAGGTTGCAGTGAACCGAGATCATGCCACTGCACTCTAGCCTGGGCAACAGAGCGAGACTCTGTCTCAAAAAAAAAAAAAAGTAAAAATTGAAATGCATTAGTAGGGCAGGATTGTGGAAAGGTGCCAGAGAGCAGCAGCAAATCCCTGGACATCAGCACAGAGAGTGGCAAGCTGGCCTCAGGAGATACCATATTCTGGGAAGGGCCAGAATGAGGAGAGCAAATGTTCTTCAAATTAAGGTACAAAGGAATTAAGGACAGAAAACATCCAGATGCCTAGAAACACTTCACTGAGAAGAGTGCTGAGAGGCACGACTATATTGACACCCTGTTACAGTATTTTCAATGCCCCTGTTATATCTGTAAGAGAGTGTCAGTGGTCTTTTCGATAACCATCATGTATGAAACAGTCATAGAAACCATGCAAAATGCGTGAATATTGATGATTGCTTGAATGTAACTATCCTTTGTAGAGCACAGAGACCCCAATGCCACATTTTTAAGATGCAATCATCTGCTGCCCTCCATTTGAAAATAGTGATGAACTTCACTCCTGCCTCTCCCCATCAGTCCCTCTGAGCCCTCTCTCCAACCTCTCTCGTTTCCTTACCTTTCTCCTCTCTTCCATCCAATTTCCAGTGAGCACTTTCGTTGAATACTTGGTCTCAATCTGCCAGCTCGGAGTAGAGAGTGGCTGTGGATTTACTGCAGTCAAAAACATGTTAAGGATTTGCCCCAGGTTTCTTTGACTTGATGCAGTTTAAGGCTTCAGGCGGGGAGAGGAAGGTGTTATGAAGTTGCTGAGTTTGGGGTGCCTATTTTGTCTTCCCAGCTGGCCTCCTGAATGGCTAGTAGATGACT